>NC_000002.12:155368405-155671436 GCF_000001405.40 Homo sapiens | reverse complement strand
ATAGACATTTTGCTTTTCTCTTTCTTTCTTTCTTTCTTTCTTTCTTTCTTTCTTTCTTTCTTTCTTTCTTTCTTTCTTTCTTTCTTTTCTTTTTATTTCTTTCTTTCTTTCTTTCTTTTTTTTTTTTGACAGAGTTTCACTCCTGTTGCCCAGGCTGGAGTGCAGTGGTGTGATATCGGCTTACTGAAACCTCTGCCTCCTGGCTTCAAGTGATTCTCCTGCCTCAGCCTCCGAAGTAGCTGGGATTCCAGGCACCCGCCACCACTCCTGGCTAATTTTCTGTGTTTCGTAGAGATGGAGTTTCACCATGTTAGTCAGGCTGGTCTCGAACTCCTGACCTCAGGTGATCTACCCGCCTTTGGCCTCCCAAAGGGCTGGGATTACAGGTATGTGCCACCATTCTTAAAATAAGACATAAAAATGGCCAATAAGTACATGAAAAAAATGCTCACCATTGCTAACCATCAGAGAAATACAAACTAAAAACACAATAAGATATTACCTCATGCATGTTAAGATGGTTATCATCAGAAAGATAAAAGATGACAGCTGTTGGTGAGGTTTTGGAGAAAAGTACCTCTGTGCACTATTTGTAGAAATGTAAATTTGTACAACCAGCATAAAAATGGTATGGAGGTTCCTCAAAAATTAAAAATAGAATTACCATGTGATCCAGTAGTCTCAACATCATGTTGTACACCATAAGTATATACAATTTATAGCTGTCAATTAAAAACAAAGCCTGGACTTAACAGTATCCTAAAATCAATGAGGATATAAGTTTGACATATTCCTGGCATACTGTAGGCCTAGGAAGTAGGGAATGTTGGAGGGGATCTATTATGTGTGACCCCTACAACCTTCCCTTAAGCATTTCTCAGATGAGGCCAAGAGAACATCCATCCTTGTAAAATTAAGATGTAGCTGTCCTTTGTAGGCAAGGCACAACAGTAGGGGGTACCACAATGAGATGGGATTGGGTGTTTTTTATGAAAATAATGGGATTACTGAGTAGAGAGGCCAGATCATGGCCTTTACCCTTAGAAAAGAGGTGTGTACAATGACCATAGATACCACAGAGGTGGAATAGTAACCAGAGATCTATGACATTGCCTGATTAATATGCCACTAGGGATAAAATAAGTGAGTACCTTACTAAGGTATTGCTTGACATATATAAGCAAAAAAAAAAGTGGGTCTAGTCAACAAAAACCTAATATAAATTGACATGTGGGGATTTATGGCCTCTTATCTAGTTCTCTGTCCTAAGTTTGTCTTGCCTGAATTCACTAATGGGAAATTAATCTCTATGAAGCAGTCTATTTCATTTTTAATATGTCTTTATAGTTTCCACCTATTGGTTTTTGCTTTTTCTTCCAGATCCACATAGAAATAATCTAATATCTATTCTACGAGGAAATTCCTTAAATATTTGAAGACACAGTTTGGGTTTCTCTCCAGCCTCAAAGTTTTAAATTCTTTCACTATTCTGGTTGCTACACAGTTTCTTTCCAGTTTTTTTTTTTTTTTTTTTTTTTTTTTTTTTTTTTGAGACGGAGTCTCGCTCTGTCGCCCAGGCCGGACTGCGGACTGCAGTGGCGCAATCTCGGCTCACTGCAAGCTCCGCTTCCCGGGTTCATGCCATTCTCCTGCCTCAGCCTCCCGAGTAGCTGGGACTACAGGCGCCCGCCACCGCGCCCGGCTAAATTTTTGTATTTTTAGTAGAGACTTCTTTCCAGTTTTTAATGACAGTGTCTGAAATGCTTCACTTGTGTGAGGTGGACCTCCAAAATTTGGTCAGCATTCTCTCTGCCATACTCTGGTTATAGTACTGGTTAATGTACTCTAAGATTAAAATAGCTTCTTTGTCAGATTTGTTGCAATGTTGAATTTAATAAAATGTTATCTTAAAAATTCTGGAAAATATAGAATAAACAGATGCTGTTCAATAATGTATGCTTATGGCAAATCCTTTACAGATTACCCTCCTGTAACCCATATTGTTCATCATTTACTAGTTAAAACATATCAGAAACTCTGGTTTGAAATGGGTTTCAGACATTCTGTCTTGGATTTGATGGCTTCAGTGCTGTAGAATTGGCTTATGTTCATGTTTCATTTTAAGCTAAGATATAGCTCGAGGACACATAGTGAAAAGTTAGGTCGGAATGGAGTTTGTACCTTACGTGATATATCTTACCCACTAATGACTGCTGGGTTTCATGTGGCATGCTCAGTTTCCATGATGCTTAAAACTCTGCATTTTCAAAGAACACATACATGCTGACAAAAATAAAATCAGTGTGGAATTTTAAAATAAGTCTGGGATCAACATGCCTATGAGAGAGGTTGCCTTAATTCCAGTCCACTATCATTCCCCACCACCTTGATGGCAATGAATCCATAAATGGAATGCTTTCATTATACCTCCTAGGAGCTATAAGTCTAGCATATTCTTGAGTTGTTGGATTTTTCCTCTGATGTTGCTGTTAATTAGACTGTTTTATTCCATTATTATTTATGTAAAAGTATTAACCTTTTTTGGAGCTCATTTCCCCATCCTGAAATTTGAGGAAAGTTTTTTTTCAAATGAAAGTAACTCGTGAGTTCCTAGTTAATATTTAAAAAGAGAGCTTTAATAAAATAATACATAATCCTTTCAAGAATGTACAATTTTGAGCCTAAACTATTCCTATCATTAAGAATTTACATTCTCTGAAAAAGAACAATTTTGAAAATAAGCATACTTAGCAAAGAAGAAACAAGGTGTGTATGTCTGCTAGTGATATTTTACAAGTTAAATATCTAATCTATTTCAGTGTATAGTAGGGCTTGATGACTTGCATAGCATTTGGTGAACCACATGTTGCAAGGTATCTTCCATTGGATTCTTTGGAATAAGACTTTTGGAGGACAATGAAGTCCTTGACATTGTACACAGAGTTTTTGAGATAAACGTACCTGTGCATTTATCTGAAAAAAAATTTCAGACTTGTTAGATTTTCACAATGGCCCATAAAATAGATCCCACAAAAGATTAATAGCTTTGATAGACAAGTGTGATATGTGACATATTTATAAACTGATAATCTTGACTTTTAAAACTAGGGTTTTTGAAAGGGATGTTGGAGCTTTCAAGTGGGATATTCATGAGTGGCTAGGAGAGCAAACTCTAGATGGCAGGTTCACTTCAGATTGTGCTCCATTTGATCTGGCTAAAACACTGTGGATATTCGTTCTTTCAAAATATTTCTGGAAAGGCTAACACAGTAGGTGTGTTTATAGCTCTTCAAAAGATTCATATTGGGAGACCTGGAGATTAATGATCTTTGTTGTACAAGGCCAGATATAAGCTCAGGTAGCCTCCTAGGCAGTCCTGCACATTGCCATGGCAATGGATTTCTAACCTGACCTGGAGAGCCAATACCTGTTGGAGAAAGATAGGTCCTTCACATCCATGGATCACAGTTCTTTAAGAAATGAGGTCACATGTTTTATTTTACAGTTTTATTTTTTTAATGTTGCTATATTGTATTTATAAAGAAAAAGATTAAATAAAACAAAATTAGATAAATTAATGGGATTAAATATCACTAGAAAGAAAATTTACAAACTTTCTGGTCAGTGGGTCTTATCAAATACTGATGACTTACGTCTGAATTTAATTTACATAATTAAGACAAAACTCAACTTTCTTGAAAAAAATATCAGGTTGTATTTTTCAGGGGTGGGGGAGGGGATTAAATCCTGTGGGCTATCATATAGAAAACGTTTTGACCAGTGTCCTGCAAAATAATTCTGAATAGCATGAACCTTATTACTTTGTAGTGAGAAATTAAATTGCTCCAATGTAATTAGCTGGATATTAAGCAGAATTTTGCTTTTCTGCTAACAAAACATTTGGTGTACCATGTGATTTCTGCTTAAGCTATTGTTTTATATCCATGTTCCACAAACTTTAGTGTGCACAAGAATCACAGGAGAATCATGTTAAAATGCAGATTCTTATTCAGTAGCTCTGGAAAAGGGCTTGAAATTCTGAAACTTTTATAAGCTCCCAAGCAAGGCCAATATTGCTGGTGCCCAGACCACACAATTGAGTAGCAAAGCCCTATATGACATGGCTATTATATTTCTTCAAATATACTATGTAATTGAAACATTTTCAGTTTCATATTGAGACTTTTTTGATAGAGAATGCATTCATTAAATAAAATTGAATAAAAATAAATTCATAAACAGGTCTATATTGAAAGAAAATAACAGTTCATATCTGAATTTTTAAATATGCTAAAAGTAAAAATGATTTAGGTTTGTACTTTTTAAAAATTGATTTTACCTGATGGTTCCAGAGTCACATAAAACATCTGTGCTTCATTGCCATAGAAATGCTAGTTCCTTTTTAATGGATATTTTTACATAGCTGATGATATTAGAAAACTGGAAAAACTTACTGGCAATTTCTCTATCATTTATTTGAATGGTGAGATAGCTTCAAACAATAGTGACTTTAGAGAACAATTTAAAAGTACACACATACACATGCCCTGCACTCAAAATTCAATGTTCATATGTAGCACTGCGTAGGATGCACCTAGTTCAAATCCTCAATCAGCACCTATTTGACCTGCTGAGAACTGGCAGTGTTTTGGACCACCATGTGGCTTGCTTCCTAATGTACAGTAAATTTCTTTTAAAATGAAGGTCCGTGAGCTTTTTGACTTTGGCAGAAAGGACAAAACAGGAGCATAATGAACTATAAATTTTAGTGTATTTATGAGTATTTATAGCGCACTGCAAGGTTTGACTTTCTGTGTTTTTCATACATTTCATCTGAACTTGGCTCTGGCAGCAGATTCAGTATGTTTGACCTTCTGACTAGAACAGTTACATCAGGTCCACATTAACTGGCAAATGTTTTATTTTGTGGAGAGACTTGCAGCATGGGGGAAGGTTAGAATAATTTTCAATGAAACACACTCTTGGTACTACCTTTTGGAAAAAGTTTACATTTATTTTTTATTTCATTTTTAAGACAAAATTAACAATTAATGTTAATTGTGACATTATTACTCTTTAAAATGCAGCTGCCGTAATCTTTTAACTTTAATTATCATGTGTCCGTATGAGAGCTTTTGAATGTCAAAATGCTTTTGAATATGAAGGACAGGTAACACTGCTTTATAGCCTTCTGCCTATTCTTGGGATTATTTACAAATTGCATAGATTTGAATCTCTAGACCTAATTGTCTTGTACAGCTATGGGGATGATTGTCTGAGTTAACCGTGTTAGACTTGCTACAAAGACAGGAAAATTTTATTGATTGACAATGACATCTCTGCCACTTCAATTGTGACCTAGTAGTTCATGCGAGATGTATCTTTGCTATTCTAGCTTATTTTCCTTCACACCAGCGCAGCATGGCCACAGTAGGATAAGGGAGCGAAAACCTGTGTGAGACTTCCTCAGCAGGAGCAAGTCCTGCAGGCCTACTGGTGGGCGGAGGCCTGCTGAGAAAGGTGTCACAGAAAGGTCCACTCGGGGACCAAGACTGTCACTCACCAAGACTGTCACTGCCACCCTACTAGCTGGCAGTGCTCAGGGGGAGGAGTGTAGATTGGAACAAAACACTCTTATTTTCATTCAATAGACTAAAAAGTATTTACAATTGTGTTCTTCCAAATGAAGTATTTAAGGCCTCTTATTTTTATCTCCTTCTACTATTTTTTTTCCTTAATCACCTCATTAATTTCCAGTTTGGTTAAAGTATTCAACAGGCTGGAACTATATGGCTCATTTATTCTACTTTACTTATTTACTTTTTCAAAGCAAAATGGATAAAATCAATTAATAAATTTAAGCCCGTTTGCTATGATTTGGAGAGCTGTCAAATAATGCATCTTCCTTTCTTCACTAAAGTGCTATAAAATAATTTTTCTGTGAGAATAAGGCAAAATGGCAGACTGTTGTCTTCTGAAGGCTTAAGTTCATTTCTGTCCAGAGCCAGGATATGGGCTAAGCAGCTTGCACAAAGATTCTACCATATTCTATCAATGAAATTCTTAATTGCTGGCTTTATTACTTATATGAAAAGCATAAACAATTAATCAGTATTCTGATTCTCTTTTATACATGTATAAATCTATTTTTATGATGATTCCTATGATGTGTTTGAGTTTTAAACTAAAACTAAAACTTGTGTAGGGAATGGCAAAACCACTCTTCAGCACCAATTTGGAAAGCATAATGATTGATAATAGCATACACACAGGCAAAGACACACAATCTGAAATATAGTCAAGTATGTTAGAATGAAAAAGTGCCTGTCTGATGGGAAGAATGGATAGGGTATGGATTAAGGCTGGTCAGAGAAAAGGAATATGTTAATGATGCCCAGGAGAAGAATGAAAGGGATTGCTAAATGCTCTAGGGAAGGAAGTCTTCAGACACATCTGAGGTGGGTAAACTTCTGACTGTAATAATTTCCAACGTAGGCATAGCTTGTTCTCCTGTTTACAAAAAAGAAGTGAAAACACTAGAAAATAGGTGTTGAGGGGGTGGGGGGCAAAGTGAGGGAGAGCATTAGGACAAATACCTAATGCATATGGGGCTTAAAACCTGGATGATGGGTTGATGAGTGCAGCAAACCACCATGGCACATGTATACCTATGTAACAAACCTGCACGTTCTGCACATGTATCCCAGAATTTAAAGTTTAATAAATACATTTTAAAAAAAGAAAATAAGTGTTGAATAGCACAGCTCAATCTGTATCTGGTAGTAAAAATAATCCACTCAAGGGTGTCATGGGTACTGAGTTGTATATCATAATTAAAGTGCTTAGACCAATGCCTGGTACATTTAGTGCTCAACACATACTGGATTTAATTTATTTATACATACAGACACAGCTAGTGAAAGATAGAGATATATATTACATGTATATGCCATTTATGAAGGGAAAATAAATAAATCACAGAAATCTACAAAAGAAATTTACACAACTTTGCATAAGGCTAGAAATGTTTATATTTTCTGTTTTCTTTTTTAATTTATAATTAAGTAGTTACATGCTCATTGTGGAAAAGTGAAATGGTACAGAAGTATATATAGTAAAACATTATAATGTATACATCTTTTAGCAATTTTTCCAGAATTTTTCTATTTACATATATGCGTATACATACACTGATGTGTATATATACACACACAAATAAATAAATTATTACTTTTTACATTAGTAAGCACAAATGGGCTCAGATACATTTTATCTCTATGTCATTAGCTGAGTAGGAATAAGCAGAAGATTTACATGAAGATATTTTTGTCACACATACTTGTAGTACAACTTTATTACTCATAGTGTATTAGCCTAACATATTTGATTTCTTTTGGAAGTATATCTTTATCTATCTATCCATCTATCTATCTATCATCTATCTATCTATCTGTCTATCTATCTATCATCACGGAGGAATCCAACAGTATAAACGTAGTTGCTATAACAAATACCCAGTGAAAGACGTTTTATAGTTTCCTCTTAAAACTCTACATTAATGACCTGATAATACTCTGTGATGGCTTTTGGAAAATGTGTAAAGTTTCTGACAGTATGTCAACAAAGTGTCAAATATTGTGAGCAAGAAGCTATGAACTGGAATCATAGTGTCACCAAGTGTTAAAGCTGGAGGGACCTTAGACCCCCTTCATGTTGAAAGTAATGGGGCTGAAGCCCGGGAGGGTATAGTGATTTGTTCAAGGTCACAAACCAAGTGAGTAAGAACAAAAGAGTAGAACTTTCGTCCCCGGGTTCCCAGTCCTCATCTCTTTTAGATTTGTAATTTTGCTCCTAACTATATTTATTGTTTAATTTTATATGGAACAAAACACAGATTATAGAATGGAGTCAGAGATTTTTGGGAATCTGAGTCATTTTAAAGGTCACTCATTTCCTATTAGTCAGAGTAAGTAGCTATCTATCCCGATCATTTATTTAAGCATTTGTTCCATGTAACTCCTAGTGATATTACTTTCCCTGACAATGAGAAGCAGCAGTCATAGTTTCAATAAAACTAATCCCTCCCTTTAAATCTATTTTTTACTGAAGGAAGTATTTCTTGTCTTTCTTTCTTGCACTCTAGCTTTTTAAATAGACATACCCTTTGTCTTTGCACCACTAGATCATGACATAAATAGAAATTATTATCACAAACACAGGCACACAAATACATGCAAATGCCCAGGCATGTACACACACACACACACACACACACCCCACAAGAAGCATTTGACAGAAGCTGAGCACTTTCTTTCACATATTAATTCTCACCATAATTGCAAGTTAGTTGAATGTTCTCAAAAGTCCATTTTATAGATGAGAAAACAGAGTCAAAGAGTCATAGATTTTCCAAAATAAAGGCCCAAAACTAGGTCTTTTCCTTTCAATATACATATACATAATGGATTATAGATCTTTAATGAACAATTAAGATAAGTGAGACTATTTTAAAGAATACTAAAATCTTTTGGAAATGATAAAAAAATTAAACTAGTATTTTTACCTACTCTTTAGTGTTAAGCAGCAATATTTTGTATTAGAAAATCCAAACTTAGACTAACATTTCTATATTTTAAATTTAATATTTTAAATTCTGAATCTTCTTTGAAAGATAAAATATATATTTGTTCAAATTTTTATTTTTTTATCAACAGTTAAAAATTATATATACATATGGTATACCGTATGATGTTTTGATGTATGTATACATTGTGGAATGGCTAAATGAGGCTATTTAACATGTCCACTACCTCACATAATTTTCTTTTTGTGGCGAAGACACTTAAAATCAATTTCTTAGCAATTTTCAACTATACAATATATTGTTGTTAACTGTAGTCATTATGATGTACAATAGAACTCTTAAACTTATTCTTTCGGTCCAGCTGAAGTTTTGTGCTCTTTGACCAACATCTTCTCAATCCTTCCATCCCTGCTACTAACCCCCAGGACTCTGGTAACCACTATTTTACTTTCTGTTTCTGTGAGTTCAACTTTTTTAGCTTCCACATTTAAGTGAGATCATGCAGTATTTGTCTTTCTTATTTCACAACCTAGAGATAATGATCTCCAGGCTGAATTAACGTTGTCTTAAATGACAGCGTTTCCTTCATTTTCAAAGCTGAATAGTATTCCATTGTGTATATATACTACATTTACTTTATCTGTTCATCCACTGATAAACACTTAGGTTGATTCCATGTCTTGATTCCTGTGAGTAATGCTTCAATGAACATGGAAGTACAGATGTCTCTTAGACATATTGATTTCCTTTCCTTTGGATATATACCCAGTAGTGGGATTGCTGGATCATATTGTAGTTCTATTATTAGTTTTTTGAAGAACTAACTTTGAATATTTTAAAATTGACTTTGTAGTCAAATATATTCAAAGTATATTTTTATTTATAATCTCAAAGACATCTATGTTTAATTTAGAATGATCTTCAATAGGGTGGTATCACTTTCACTCTGTTTTACTATTTTACCTTTCCTCCTTTAGCCATTTAACCAGTTAACAGCTTGTGCCAGAGTCTTTTACAATGAAAGTAATGAGTCATGGTGTTTGTGATGAGTCCTGGACTAGGAGTCAGAAGACCTGGGTTTTTTTTTTTTTTTTTTTGAGACGGAGTCTCGCTCTATCGCCCAGGCTGGAGTGCAGTGGCGGGATCTCGGCTCACTGCAAGCTCCGCCTCCCGGGTTCACGCCATTCTCCTGCCTCAGCCTCCCAAGTAGCTGGGTCTACAGGCGCCCGCCACTACGCCCGGCTAAATTTTTGTATTTTTAGTAGAGACGGGGTTTCACCGTTTTAGCCGGGATGGTCTCAATCTCCTGACCTCGTGATCCGCCCGCCTCGGCCTCCCAAAGTGCTGGGATTACAGGCGTGAGCCACCTCGCCCGGCCAAGACCTGGGTTTTATTCCTGGTGTGTCCAATAGCTTGCCATATGCCTTTAGAGAGATCATTTACATTTATGAATTTTAGTCTAGCCTTCTACAAAAAAGGTGTGAGACTAGATGATCAGCAAGGTTATTTGATCATCTTAAAAGTCTATGATTTATAAAATTTCTTTCTATATATTAATTTTGCTAAATTAAGATTTTATTTTATTATGGGAATTTCTTAATTCAGACACACATATAAAAGATCCAGATATGAAAACAGAACCATTTTACAATTACTACACATGTATGCCTCCATGAAAATACAGTCTTATAATTCCCAGGGCTTTGTTAACAGGCTACCAAAGTAACTACCTTCTTCAATGAAAACAATTTATACATCTTTAAGATAAATTTGTTTTTAATGTAATTACTTAGTGGTAAATTTATTAAACATGATAGTCCAAATGGTACCCTAATTTAGATGAGGTGTGGACATTGAAACTTAAATTATAAGACAAAATCTTGAGGCCATACACTATATGGCCATACACTCACTCTTCACAATATGTAGGCTCAATTTGGTGACATTTCAGAACATGATAATGGATTTAGTGATACCAAGATTTGTCAGCAATTCCCTACATATAGTCTGAAAAACATATGAAATACTATGAACCTCTATGAACTAATAAGCCTACCTACATGTTTTTAAGATCATACATAGCATGCATTTCAAGACTCAAAGTTTGTTACAGGTTTTAATTTTTGAAGCCAATTTGCGTAACACACTTTACTGACATCAAAAATGGTGAATAAGATCTGGTATTTTTTTGTTTGTTTAAAAATCTCTAGCAAAGGGTTAACATAAATATATATTTAGTTTTTTTGTAAATATTTACAGAGTAGAACGCCTATTCAGTTCAAATCAGAAAATGCAAAATGTTCATGGTGTTTTATGTGTACATAGATTCCCAGGGTCTGTTCACACTGCTGAGTCCATGGCAGAAGTTTTGGTGGTCAGCATCACCTAGGCAACATTTTATTCTCTTCTGCTGCAGAGGAAATCTGCCATCCAGTAAGTGTTGATAAAATCACAATTCTACTGCTCTTTAATCCACTGCTAATTTAATTCTACTGCTAAAAATCCACTGTACTAGTTTTCTGTGGCTGTTGTAACAAAATTACCACATACTGGGCTAAAAACAACAGCGATTTAATTCTCTCGCCATCCTGAAGGCCAGAAGTCTGAAGTCAGTTTCTCTGGGCCAAAATCAAGTTATTGGCAGGGTTACATTCCCTCCACAGGCTCTAGGAGAGATCCTGCTCCTGACTTCCAGTTTTTTGCTGGAGGCCGGCACTTCTTGACTTGTGGCCACATCACTCTAATCTCTTGTCTTCATGGCCCGGTTGCCTCTTCCTCCTCTTCTGGTTTTCATGCTTCTCTCTTCTAAGGCTTCTTGTGATGACATTCAGGACCCACTCAGATAATTCAGGATGGTCTCTTCATCTCAAAATCCTTAACTTAGTCACATCTAAAAAAAAATTAGCATATCAGGTAACATACACAGGTGCCGGGGAGATGTAACGTATCTTTGGACGTAACTTTGGGAGCTGTTACCAGCCTACCACATCCATTCTTCAGTTATTCAGTACTTTGTGTTTAATGGGTTCTTAAACTGCACCAGGTAAAAAGACTCCCCGTTACTTAAAAATTTGTAAGTCAGTTATAGCAAATTCACATATACATGTGATATCTTAAGAAGAGTATAAAGAAGATGGGAGACAAGAAATAAAGCACAGTTACTATTAAGACCAAGGAGGTGAATTTAAATTACACTAAGGTATTATTTAATATTTAAATTTAATGTAAATAAAATATGACAATTAGAGTGGATCAAGCGTTTTTCAAAAGCAAATTTTAAATAAATAAAATCTTTTAATGCTGCTCTAGCTGCGACTGTTGGTTTGCTTTTACTGTTGCTGTTTCCGAAGCTTGGAAATGCATTTCCTTTCACCTACTCATTATTTCTTTGTTGTCTTCCACGTATCAGCTTAAATGTTACAATAGCAAAATGGAGGCTGAATCATACAACCTTGATATATTTTAAGTAGCTCTCATCACTCTCATCACTACTGAAGATTTTAATTATTTGTTTGCTTGTGTTAGTGTCTCACTTTCCTCCCCAGAAGGTATCTTTATGAAAGTTGAGATCTTTTCTATAGAATCCCAGCCCCTAGAACTGCATCTGGCATAACAGATTTTTGTAAGTATTGCTTAGTAAATTACAGAATCCCTAAACATTTAGTTCAGAGGTCACTTTCTCCAGGAAGAATTCTTGAACTAACTGCGCAGGAGAAATTTCCCCTTCTCTATGCTCCCATCTTCCTCTGCTTGTGCTTAAAACTAACATTCATCAAGTTGCATCATATTAACTTATTTGTATATCTATCTTCTGATAACACTGTAAGTTCTTGGAAGGCAAGGAGTTTATCTTAGCCTGCTTCGTATTCCTAAGTTTATATTCATACTGGTGCCTGGCACACAAAAGTCACTCAATGAGTATCTTTAAAATGAATTACTCTTTGAAAACCATGAAACTATCATAAAAACAGTTTGTTAAATCTATCTACAATAGTTTTATGCATCAGGATGGCTAGCCTATAGTACCCAGTTATTTAATCAAATACTCATCTTGGGGGTTGCTGTGATTTTATTTTGTAGATGTGGTTAACATCTATAATCAGTTGACTTTAAATAAAAGAAATTGCCCTCTTTAATGTGGATGAGGCTTATCCAATCAGGTAGAAGGCCTTGAGAGCAAAACTCAGGATTTCTTAGAAAAGAAATTCTGCCTCAAGGCTGCAACGTTAACTCCTGCCTGAGTTTTCCTACTTTGGGCCTCTCTCTCTCTCTCTCCCTCTCCCTCTCCCTCTCCCTCTCCCTCTCCCTCTCCCTCTCCCTCTCCCTCCTCCCCCCCCCTTCCCCCCCCCTTCCCTCTCCCCTTCCCCCTCCCCTTCCCCCTCCCCTTCCCCCTCCCCTTCCCCCTCCCCGGATATACTATCCACCTTCCCATTTAAACCTAACTTAGGCCTAACGTAGAGCAGTGGTGAGAGTTTGACCATATCTAAACAGATTAGACGTGACGCAATTCAGTAACCTTTTGAAGTCATGGCAGTAGAAAATTAAAACTGAAATTAATATGTCCAGAAAGGAAATGAAAAATAAATTGACCCTGAAAAATTAAATGAAGAACTAAATAATAATTCAGAAAAAATAAAAGATGAATTAACATTATAAACTATTAGAAGGTTTATATTATATTCAGTAGCATTTACTTTAAAAAGTAGGGTAGTACTAAATGATCTTTTAAAATAATTTTTATGCTACAGAGCCTTAAAAATATATCAAGTTATTAGTCATATACCATAAGAGAAAAGGGATATCGTGATCATTTTTGAGATACTTTACAATTAGTTTGTAACTTCTTATGAAGTGAACTTTTTAAAACTATCTGCCCCTACCTCAGAGCACCTCCAGGTTAGACTGTGAGACTTGACCAGGAATTGAGGCAGTTTCCATTAGAAGTGGTTCCTTTGAGGTTTTCTCTACTGCAATTGAGTAATGAAACTTTATGATGTGGCTGCATCTCAGAATCCCAGGCACTGGCTTCTTTCGGTGGCCGGGAAGGAAGAAGATAAAAGCTGGTTATTCTCAGCTCTCACTTTTCCTACTCTATTTCATCCAAAATTAACCTTTCTTTTCAAAAGCAAAGTACAATATTCTATCTACACTGGATAAAACTAAGTAAATATATTTCCAGGTTAGCAGAATTTGAAAAGAAACTATATTTTATAGTCAGGATCAAGTCAGGATTATTTCTCCAAACATATTTCATGTGTTTTGGTATTGATATTTTCACATGCATTTTTATTACCTTTTTGTTTTAGATTTTTTTGCAATAAGATCACAAATAAAAAATTGACTATTGACAACTCTGTTGAGATTTTGATATACTAATAAAAAATGATTCAAGTGAAGTAGGTTTGATTAAATCTGACTTTCCAGATGAAGACAAAACATGTCAAGAATCAGAAGACTTTACTTGGTTTTTCAGGGAGTTAGAACCGTGAAAGAGCCTTCCTTTATTGGAAAGAACTTTGAGGTGGCTAGAAAAGACAAGGTGCAACTGATGGCATGGACTAAAGTAAAGAGTATAGGCCAGTGATTTACAGTCTGAGCATTTCAGACTCAGCATGAGCATTTCAGATTCATCACGTCTAAAACCTAACATCTTCTAGAAATTGGCCCCATTCCTGACCTTCTAATTTCCATGAATAATTCCACTCTTCTCCAGCTCTGAGCTCATATCATTTTTTACTCCTCCTTAGTTGCTCCTCTAAACCTAAATCCTCTCCCTTAATCATTTTTTCTAGTTAGATTATTTGTAATTTTTTCTGAATTGGTTTGTTTTACTGCAATCAACTTAACCTGATTTTACACTATTGTATTGGCCTTTAACTAGACACTCTGACATCTAATCTCTTACTTCTTCAACTTTTGTGCATTCACAGTAACCTGATTAATCTCTCTATAATGCAACTACCAGGTTTACTTACCTTAAATTTTTTTAATATGCCTATGGATTGTAGGCAGGATAGTCAAGATCCTTTCATCTGTCACTCGTGTTCTTCCAACAAGGACCTTACCTCCTTCTTATATCCTTCTACTTTCTGCTATGCCAAATAAATCTTCTGTTTTCCAAACACAATTCAGTGTATATCTGCACTTTACTTTTGAATGTGCCCAGTGTAAATTCTATATAAATACTATGCCTCCTTTAGAAATGGAGCCAGAGATGTCTTTGTTTAAGAAACCATGGTTTAGTTCCAACACAAAACAACAAAATCCACATCTGTCTCTTTTCCTGTAGTGTATATTTACTGACACATAGCAAAATGTACTAGAAAGAATCATACAGCTATAGGTTGGATTCTGGCTCTGCCATATGCCAGCTTTGGAATACAGGCAAATGACTTAACCTTTCTGTCTGTTTCCTCATCCATGAAATTGGGATTAAAATATTTACTTCAGTGGAATTGTTTATCTCAGTTGTTTATTATTATTTATTGCCTCTCTCCCTCCAATGGAATATAAGCCTAAGAAGTCAAAAATGTTGCCTGTTTTGCTAACTGCTATTTCCTTCAACACCTAGACTGATGTCTGGCACAGAGTAGGAAACCCATACTATTTGTTGAATGATAAATGGTTAGCACCTGGTAAGGGCTTCACAAATGGTGGCCATCAACACCATCGTCATCGTTCATTATACATCACCTTTTTAATGCTGCCTAGCATAGCTATTTATTTTTCAAGTGAAATCAAGACTATTTCTACTTTATAAGTCTTTAGTAACTACTTAGTTATTGTCCTGTCCAAAATTGTACCAAAGCTCATATTATACAGGATTACATGAAGTTCATTATTTGAGGAAACAAATCAAAGCTTATTTAGTGGCTTTTCTCCCTAAGGACCACATATTCACATCTTATTGCTAGTAATCCAACTAGAGATTATCAGCTGCCTCTAGGCTCTTCATGCCACACATATTTACTTTTTTAGCAGCCATTTTTAATTATTTTCAATTCCTCTTCAAAGCCCACAAAATAATAATATGTCACATTTTAATAGCGCCTTAGAGAAAATTATTTCTGACTAACACATGAGTGTTTTAAAAAGTCAAATTTACAAGACATATATGTAAGAAGGGATGATGTTATTAGTAAGAGTCTTCCATGAAATTTCCGTGGTGCTATAGGAACATCAATTTCAAACAGCTAATCTTTCTCTCAATCCAACTCACCTAGAGGATAATTTTTCAGCCATCCAATGGATCAATTAGTCTTATTTCACACAAAAATGTATCTTTTGGAGGAGAAGAGGTCCTATCATCTTTAGTGAGCTACACTGCAGTTTGAGTTTATTATGTTCAACTCCTTCCTATGCAAAATTTGATAAAGAAGAAATCAGGGCAACCATGACTAGCAGTGGCTCATGGAGTCTGGCCACTCCTGCATCAGGAAGATATGCAACCCATCACGAAAGTACAAGACCTCCCCATTCTGGTTCACACAGACTATTCATCTACACAGAAATAAAAGCTAGGTATTATGAATCCCACTTTACAGACTGAGTTATTGAGGTTCAGTGAGGTTAATCAACTTGTACAAAGTCCTGCTTCATACTCGGAAGGCATTTATTTGCTTATGAAGGATCAGGTACTTGGACAGGTAGAATCAATTATTGGCTTTAAATAATGTTTTTTGTACATTTATCCAACAGTATCTATAAAATCATTTGTTTTGCTGTGAATTAAAAAGCAACCTTTTAAGTTCCTCTACCAGCTGTCTGTCTTCGAGTGCAGATATACACAGAACGAAAGAAAGAGGAGAAACCAAAAGTATTTGATCAGGAATCATAGTGATACTGTCTTATCTTTGTACTTGTTTAATAATTTGGGCTGAATAAATAGTATATTAAAAAGAGTAATGCTATACAAGCAGAAATTTTATATAAATCTCTAGTAAGCTAGCCATGAATATTAAACAAAAGTTGTCCTTTTTTATAAAAAATAAAAATTAAAAGAATATTTTTTCTTAAATCACAAAATTATGTCTCTGAAATTGAAGCTCTTATACTTTTTATGAGTCTTCGCTATTATTTTGTAACTGTAACATGAATATAGATTCCAAATATTGTGATTGAAAATCCTAGAGGGGATTTTTGTGAAACTTAATAGCAAAATGTAGTTGACACTCATTCTGTGTTACCCTAGGGCTACAGTTTTGCTACAGTTTTGATCATAGTCTGAGTGGATTCATTCCTGTCAGCACAATGAATTTTATACTCATATCGCAGGTATATTTTATAGTCCTTTTCCCTTTTTTAAGTAAAAACAAAGTAAAAATAAATTCAGTTATACTATAAAATTTCAACCAAGATCTTAAAAAAATTATATGAAACAAATATAACATATAGGCCGAAATCTGCCCCTTTCAAGTCTGGTTGTCTGATTAAATTTACTGTAATGCTGTTATTGATGTAAATATTAGCATACATTTATATACTTAACACAATCACTTTAATACATCATGATAAATAGAAAATCAGAACAAAAGAGTTATGTATTTATCAATTGCCCTGTAATTGTAAGAAAGCAGTGGCTATGTGTTATTAAACCTTACAAGCAGTGTAATACATTATATATCACCTTTTAGTTTTAAAACATTTTTAAGACCCTATTCCCTATTGCTCAGGTATTAGACACCAATGACAGTTGCTTTCAATTTTTTAAGAAAGTACATTCTGATCGTAGGTTCCCAAGAAGGTTAAATATAAATTAGTCATAAAGCCAATGGAATAGACAGGAAATTATTAGGCTATGTGATTATTTCTAGATTTATAGTGTTTTAACACTACTAGTGTTTAATTAAGGAGAAAAGGAGCCAATTTTATTTTATGTGATTATTTAAGGCCTCAAAAATTAATGTTCTTCTTACTCTGTAATGCTGTAGTTCTAAAGCAATGTTGAAGACAACAAAGTCCTATTTGATAGTCTAGCCTTTCAGCGAACAGCTCTTCTTCCTGTCTTTGATGTAGGAATGGTTTATTTAATCAATTATTAATCAAAGTTATGGCATTCTTCTTATATATTTAGGTAAAACTAAAAGATGACTTTCCCAAGCCTTATTGCTTAAATAAAAGTTTAAATAGACTGTGCAAACACTTGACTTTGACATGGCAGATATTGGAGTGATTTAAGTTTTAGAGAGCCATGGTCTCAATTGGATGCTTAGATGAAAAGGTGTGTGTGTGTGTCTGTGTGTGTGTGTGTATATGTGTGTGTGTCTAGTGAGATTTTCTAGCAGTAGATGATGAGCATGTGCCAAAGTATCCAGAACACTTTTGATAACCTTCCCTCTGATAACAAAAGCCAGTACAGATAATTTGATTAGTGTTTTCTTTGCACAGGTGTTAAAGTTGACAGGAAACAGCTGAAAGACACACACAGTGGTGCAAGCTGGGCAGCTGGACACTTTGTGCATGGAGAATCTTGAGCATTTGGTAACATTTGGCAGCTTAACACAGAAAAAAATGACTGCTAGCAAAATCTCAACTGCTGCTAATTAGCAGCAATGAACTGTGGGTAGGACAGTGCATTTTAATGTGAGAAGATTTTTACAGTAACCACCACACTAAGAGGCGGGGGGGTATAGAAAGAAATGCTCCCTAGCTGACCCTAGTGGCAATCCAAGCTGCATATTGCAATAATCCTGTAAATTACTATGCTTTCTTATACAGTAACTTGGAGTTAATTAGTAATTTAACATTCCTCTACACTATTAAATGTCTTTTTTGCATTATATTATGTTGTTTCATGGGCTTACCTTAACACTAATGGGGTTTTGTTATATTTTCTGAAAACAGTACCAGCAAAATAAAACTGAACTAGAAAATTAATTAGTTATCTTTTTACCTTTGATTTACCTGTTATCAACAATTAAGTGGTGGTACACATTTTTAAAGTGGTTTCAGAGGTTACATTGAGATGAATATACTTCCAGAATATATTAGAGAGGAAATGTGAATAAAAATGAATAGTGTACATGCTTCAAGTGACTATGCCATAGATGCAGAATGCAATGCAAACATGTTTCATATTTCTGCTCTAATAGAGTGGGTTAGTAATGTGGGTGGCAGAAGGGAAGGAGGAATAGAGGTAGAAAAGGAAAGCCTATTTATCTACATTTTCTAATTTAAAAAAAAACTTTGTAAAAAAACGTCCATACCATTCTTGAGTTTATGTCATAAATGTTAATGTGCTGGAATGAAGCAGTAGATTTTAGCATATAAGAAAATATGCACACTTTTGTAGCTTTGTAGTTTGTAAATGCCAGAGGATTTTGTAGGATTCTATGATGAGGGAAATGTGATACTCAAAAATTTAGGTAATGTAAATTAATGCATGCTATGATAACTTTCAAATAGAAAACTCTGAGATGAGGGATTGTGGTAAATGAAATTATTCTGAATATTTGAACAGAAGAAAGAGGTTAAATTTGTTAGTATAGTGTTTTCTTAAAATATTTTAACTAGCCACCTCTTTCTTCTCCTGCAATCCTAATCTTCCTATTGAATGAAACAGACAAATAAAATAGTATTACGTGCATGCACTTTAAAAACTGTTCTTATGCATTTGAAATGGAAATTCTACTGTAGTGTGTGTGTATATTAAAGATAAAGGAAGTGTTTCTATTTGTCATCTTAAAAATCAATGTGAACTTGATAGTGGAACAATTTAGTAAAAGCAGGGCTTCAGAAGAAGAAAAGCCACGGATGTAAGTGGAAAGGAATGAATTCAATACAAAACCCTTCCAAAAGATTTCGTCTCTTGGGGCTCCCTCTAAAAGAGTGTCTGCTACCATTTAAAACCCCATCCTTTGCAGCTGGATTTGAACATACCATAAAAAATTCATCCACGCTTTAAGAGATTTCTGCTTTTCTGTCCTCTCTATTGTTAGACAAATTGAAGTGTGCACTCGGAAGGAAAGTGGCAGTGAACTGCGAATTTATTTACTCATTCGATTCTAATATTGAGAGAATCTACTCTCTCCGTTCAAAGGGTAGAGCAACAATGCAAGTGACATCAGGTCACCCAGCACTTCATAGCTACCTGTGAGATAGAATTGTTCTCCTTGCAGATAGGAAGTGACTGAAACCTCTTTTTCTCATCAATGTCTATTATGATTGATGGCTCTATGGTCACATTGAATATGCCCTTTTTAAATAATTCACAATGTCATCACCATAGTACTAGTTTATAACTAGCCTGTTATTTTTACCTTTGTTCATTCACTATCAGAAGGTTAGATAAATTAAGTACTGTGGATTTTGGTAGCATTATAACCAACCAAAGTAGAGTGTTTATAGCCCAACAACAGCAACAACAGCAGCAAAGCATTGATTTTGTTTTTTACTGGCGCTCTGAATGCTCTCTCTCTCTCTCTCTCTTCCTCCAATAAGTCCTAAAAGGAAAATCAAAAATAGCAGAAGCACTTGTAGCACACTAACTTGAAACCACACTCGGGTATTAAGTCATCATAAGATTTTCAATATAAAAAGCAGTCACACTGCATTGAGATATATGGAATTTTACATATTCTGTACTTATTTAAAAATAATGTATCATATTTATTTAATGGCTCCATAATAATAAAATTTATAATTTACTTCCAAATATCTAATGCATGAATTGTTAAACCAGCATCTGTACTAAAGAGCAGAAAAAACATTTATTTAAAAATGTAATGCTTGATATTGGGAGTACACTACATAAATAATATAATATTTCAGTTATTTTCTAAGTCGGTTAGAAGTCAGAGGTTGTTATTTAAGTTTTGAAACGTAGATGCAGATCCTCAAAAGTTCTTCATTTTATAATATACAAATGATTATATAGCAGTTTTGATCAGCACTAATTATTAAAATGAATAACTATGTGTCCTTTATAATGCAAATTTTGTTGTGTTACACATAAATTGTTGAGAGGTCAATTATACAAATTCAAAATATCAATCAAAGGAATTGACTTATGTTGCCTTAAATAAACAAACTTTCTTTAGATTTTAATTTTAACATATTGTAACATAGTAACATTATTTAACAATACAATATTTAACATATTGTAACGTAGTAATTCAATAGATTTTATTTGTGCAAGTCTCTTCACAGAGTACAAATGCTTCAAATCTCAGATTAAGAATATTAATTTTCTTAAAACTTAGATATGATGTACATATTCAACCTATAATAAGTTATATAATTTTCAGAGATAAATTATGGGTTTAATAGAATTGTGCCTTTATAAAAAGTTTTAGCCTTGGTGTTTTATTTTTACGGTCCTAATTTTGGATGTTTATTGTTTGTTGATTTTATTGTCGAATTCTGTTTCTCAAAGTAACAATGTCAGATGGAATGAAAAAATATAAAATGAGTCTAGACTTAAAGTATGTGCTTAAAGTTTCAATATGCTATCATAAATAAAAGAAGTCGAACTGCTAGGTAAGAGCTGTCATGTTATCAGAAATGCTATAATTGTAAGTATAGAGCTCTATTCGTTCATTTACTCAATAAATATTGGCCACTAGGAAATGGAGAGATAGCTCATGTTCTATCAGGGAACACAGACAACAAATTTTATTTTTAAAAAATAAGGCAACCTCAGATAGCAATACGTCCTTTGAAGCAAATAAAGTAAGGTGATGTGCTAGAGAGACACTGGGGAAAACAGATCTTGAGACCATTATTTAGACTGGGTGGCCAGGGAAATCCTGTATGGGTGAGACGGAACTGAGAAAAATAATGCACAGGTGCCAATTATTTAAAGATCTGAGGCCAGATAATTCTAGATCAGCAATTCTTAGATTTCTGCTATGGCAAAAACAAACATGGCATTTCAGAATGACTGGAATGATGAGGAGAAAGCCCAGACAAGATGAGGTTAGGAAGTCAGGCACAGACCAGGGAAAATGCCGCATTTAGGTGGTAAGACATTTGGATATCACTGTATTCTATATGCAACGAAAAGCTATTGAAAGGTGTTAAGCAGGATAGTGACATTCTTTGGTTCTTGTTTTACAAAAAATTCCTAGCTGTAGAGTTAGACAGACATTTGAAGTCTTGCTGTCACCTCCAGTGTGTGCTACTTAACTTCTGGGAGCCTCCATTACTTTGACTCCAGTATGGGGGGTAGTGCCAATAAGAAAGATAGATAAGAAAGTGCCTGTGCCTAACACAGTGCTTGGCAACTTGTAAAGGCTCAAGAAATATGAAATCTCTTTAGTGTTCTTACTTTTGGTTGTAATGTTTCAAAATGTCTAAGCAAAGAATTTGGAGACCTTATCACTATGAAGGTTAATTAAATCTCATTTTAATATTAATTTATCTTTATGAGAAAATGAAGTAACAAGATGGTCAAAGACAGTTACTTGTTTCACAGGAGATATCCATTAAGCAACTATAGGTATTAGTAAAATAATTACACTTATGGAGACTTTAGCATGTCCTAGATACATCCTAAGCTTTTTGAATACATTTGCTTATCTACCCTACAATACAGACATGAATTTATGCTATTATTATTCTATTTTACAGATGAAGAGAGGGCCACAGGAGTTATATAACTTTCCTAGGTCATAGTGACAGAAATAAGATATTAAAATAAGGGTTCTTTCTCCAAAACTAGTACCTTAACAGTATTCAGGGCTTAGGGAGTTAGTGAACTAAAAAATTTGAGGTTTAATATAGTTAATATATATATATTTCTCAATTTAGAGGTCAATTGATACATAAAATGAAAATTTGATTTGTTATTAGTATCATCTTATAAAATAAGTGGCTTAGGCTTTAAAAAATATAGTAAAGAATATAAAATGAAAAACTGTTGAGTTGAAAACAATCTTTTTCAGACTGTTTCTCCCTTTTAAAAGGCAATTTTATTTTAAAAATGATTCTTTTGAAGTAGTTTTATAAATAATTCAAATATTTTTTCTTTATGTATCGTTGTTTCTTAACTTTTACCTAAATATAACCACATGGAACATGTGAAAAGTAGAAAATAAAACAAATGGAAAAACCTGAAAATTATTTAACTAGATAAAAATTGTCTTAATTGAAATAAGTGTTTTATTTTCCTCGTGATTAAAAACTCAATTTTACTGTTAAAAAATAAAAGTCAGCATCTTAAATATATTTCAGAGTCTATTATCACAAGAAATTCTAGCCAAAAGAGGTAGTGCAAAGTTTTAAAAATTAAGGTTCAATTTTGATTTGCATTTCATACAACTTTAAAGAAGTGCTTGTACAAAGACATGGGGGCAATTCGAGAGGAAGCTAAGAAATCAAAGATGTAGTAAAGAGGGCATATGCTTTGAAACTTGTGGAAGCTTGAAAATCACTATTTGTTTTTACTTAAAATGAAAGAAAAAGTAACTACTCGGGAGGCTGAGGCAGAGAATTGCTTGAACCCAGGAGGCAGAGGTTGCAGTGAGCCAAGATCCCACCACTGCACTCCAGCCTGGGCGATGGAGTGAGACTCCGTCTCAAAAAAAAAAAAAAAAAGAAAGAAAAGAAAAGAAATAAAGAAAAAGTACAAGGGAAGACATGGAACAGTGGAAGCATGATTTCCTTGTAACCAGTGAAATACATTTTATAAAAATAGCTCTTTAAAATGGGGTTAAATAATCTTTAGCCATCCTAAAATTTCCGTGGCTTTCTATATAAATGGCCATCCTTTAGAATGCCATGTTTTGAGGCTTTGCCTAACTTTAAAACATTCATTTATTAAAATAATAACAATAATATTGTTGCTGTATGACCACCATATTTCAGGTAATATGCTAGACAGCTTGGGATATAAAAGTCAACAGTAATCAATGTCCTCAAGGTAGGAGAAGTAAGACAACTATATGTAAGACAAACCTATGTACACTGGGCTTGACGTGCTGAGCTGGTCAGTTCATATGGTGATGTGATAATCATTTCACTGTGGTGAGTTTAAAGTTGTAGCTGCCATTTTTTTTTCAGGAACGATTCAAGTATGGCTTTTTATTAATACAAAAATTATCTGTGTAACTTTTTCCATGAGTGAATATTGCAATGTAATCTATAAAGATCTCACATTTCCAAGATGACTGATTGAATCTCAGTTGTTGAGGCATCACTTGTACTTGCCTCAGCAGGGTTAAACTTGACAAGTGGTAAAAGAAAAAGCAAAACAAATTAAGCAGACATCCAGACATACATACATACAAATAATCCAAATAAACTAGAAAGCAATCCAGTATATCCCAAATAAATTTAACTTGGAAAACCTACAGTAAATATACGGAGCATTATCAGTATGATAAATGGCCAGCATAAATGTGAGGGCATCATGAAGGTAGTAGTGTCCATAATAACAATAGGAGGTTCTTCAAAGGAACATGTTAAGAAAGTGAAATACAAAGTTCCAAAGAGAGCCTGTGGAACTGGAAGTAAAATGAAGAATTGAAAAAAAGGGGATGGCGAATAGGAATAGCAGGAAAGCAGTGTCATAAAAGGAGAAGAAAAAAATATGTATCTTTGGCCCGGCATGGTGGCTCACACCTGTAATCCCAGCACTTTGGAAGGCTGAGGCAGGTGGATCATCTGAGGTCAGGAGTTCAAGACCAGCCTGGTCAACATGATGAAACCCCATCTGGTACTAAAAATACAAAAATTAGCCAGGCGTGGTGGCAGGTGCCAGTAATCCCAATTATTCGGGACGCTGAGGCAGGAGAGTCACTTGAAACCTGGAGGCAGAGGTTGTAGTGAGCTGAGATCGCACTATTGTACTCCAGCTTGTGCGACAAAAGCGAAACTATATATATATATAAAATATATAAATAATTAATAATAATATATAAATAATTAAATAATATATATTATAAATATGTAAATATATGTTTTTTTCTTATTGTTCTTTGAAAAAAATTGAAGAATTTACATTGGCCCAAAATGACAAGAGCAGCTTCAATGTAGTTATTTTGTCGGGGAGGGGGATGTAGAAGGGACTGGTTATAGGAGGGATAAAATATAGAGTTTCTTAATTTAAAAGTTTGACAAGTACATTTTATGACAGTGATGGCAAAATGAAAAAAAGGTATTTTGCTTGTTAAAATATTTTAAATTTATATAGTTAATAATTCAGTGAAACCATCCATTTATATTTTTAGCTGACGTTTTGAAATATGCTTTGTGTGTGTGTGTTTATGAACTCATGGTGTTAATCACTCTCTACATAATATAGAATTATTTGGGGCTTAAAAAATTGAGTAAAATTTGAGTAAAATTTTCAGAAGTCAATGTCAACAGCCTTGATACATGATAATGTTCACTTCTCAGAATGTGCATAATTCCAGCCAGCTATCAAATCAAGCCACAACTGGAGATCTGAACTCTAAGAATAATATCAAAAAATAATTTGGTATGTGATGACTGAAATGATCGCAATTTGGATAACATGCCGGTATCTACCTTACAATATACATGTATATAAACTACTAGGGTCTAATCAAAGTGAAAATAATTTTGAGACTGAATCAGTCTGGCAACAAAATATCAATTCCTTGAGCAATTGGATTCACTGCACTATATAAAATAAAGACTACAAGTATCATTCTGTCATTTCTAACACTGTCTTTCTCTTAGATAAAACACAGCTTTTTTAGTGTAGTATATTATCACATACTATCACATTATTATTTTGTGAATATTGGAACCAGCAAAGATTGAAGAGATCTTCTGTCCAAATCCTCATTTATCACAGTTCTGTAGCAGCATAATAAACAAAACAAATAAAATCCCTGCCCACATGAAGCTCATAATATAGTTTCAAAAGATTAGGAAACCCAGAGTTTAAGTGACTCATAATCCTTATTTCTCAAGTTCTTTCTGCTACTAAATAGAAAATTGGGCCAAGAACTCAAGTTGTCTGACTCCTGATTTATTAATGTTTCTGGTACTCTGGCCATGAGAGTAAGAAGGTCTGCATTTGTGTTCCAATTTGCTATTCATTGACAAATGTTTTGGAAATTACATTTGTATATGACATTTTCATTAGCTTATATCTAAATAATACAATTGTTTTAACAAATAGTATATATACACTTTTTGTTCTTTAATGAGTGCTGTTCTTATATATTAACAACAGCTTTTTATTTTTCAGATAAAGAAGGCAAGAAACATGTACTTAAAACAGTACTTCATGGTCTAATGATACCCCACAGCAAAAAAAAAAAAAAAAAAAAAGTACAAAAAAACACAAAGGTGTTACTCAGAGTTACTCAGATTGTTAGATTACGTGCAAAAAAATTGAACTAGGCTGTCTATGAAACCTTTCCAAATAAAAGTTTTAACTCAAATTTAAAACAAAATTATTTATCTTGTTACTGTAATACAAATTTCCTCAAGCTTTAAAAGCTTTGCAAGAAAATACAGTGGTTTGGGAGGCCGAGGCGGGTGGATCATGAGGTCAGGAGATCGAGACCATCCTGGCTAACAAGGTGAAACCCCGTCTCTACTAAAAATACAAAAAATTAGCCGGGCGCGGTGGCGGGCGCCTGTAGTCCCAGCTACTCGGGAGGCTGAGGCAGGAGAATGGCGTGAACCCGGGAAGCGGAGCTTGCAGTGAGCCGAGATTGCGCCACTGCAGTCCGCAGTCCGACCTGGGCGACAGAGCGAGACTCCGTCTCAAAAAAAAAAAAAAAAAAAAAAAAAAAAAAAATACAGTGGTAGTGAAATTAGTATTAAAAAATTGCTAAGTTATTAAGTTATTAGCTACTATTAACTGACATTGGATATCTAGCCTTCTAAAGTATACCTTTCTCTTCAAGATCTTTCTGTGTTGCTAATGTTTGTCTCACACACTGTGCTACAAGTCTACCACCACCAATTCTTGCCTAATTTTTTGAGCAGGATCTTGTCTCCAGATGCCTCTCCAAGCATCTCAGTCCCTTCTAGTAGTTGCCTCTATTCTGTCATGAATTGCAGTTATCACCAATGTGTCGCCAGGATAGCAATCTCTACCAGACCCCGATTTATTCAACTTTCTCAACTGAGCACCACATTCATTCCTTCTATTCCTTTTGGCATGGCAGTTCACCTTTGGTGGCTATACCATTCTTCCACAAGTCCAAAGGCGATTTTTCTCTCTGGCCAATAGATTTACTCTCTTATTTGTCATATTCTTTTAGGGCATCCTTAAGTGGTATTGACTGAACTCCAATGTTATAGAGAAAAAACTCTTACAACCCTCTACCATGCTTCTGGTGATGTCTTAGTGAAGTAATATACATACACTGCAAAATTATTACTCTCTTTTGAGTTTTAGCAAAACTAAATCAAATGTATCATACTTAATCATACTTAGCTACTGGTCAGTGGACTCTAAACTCGTCAACATTTTAACTTTATGCAATTTGAATAAAAGGATAACACTTTAAACAAAAAAATTAAAAAGTGGGTGTCATTGACAGGTTTTTTTTTTTTTTTTTTTTTTTTTGAGATGGAGTCTCGCTCTGTCACCCAGGCTGGAGTGCAGTGGCGCTATCTCGGCTCACTGAAAGCTCCCCCTCCCAGGTTCACGCCATTCTCCTGCCTCAGCCTCCCTAGCAGCTGGGACTACAGGAGCACGCCATCTCTCCTGGCTAATTTTTTGTATTTTTAGTAGAGACGGGGTTTCACCGTGTTAGCCAGGATGGTCTCGATCTCCTGACTTCGTGATCCACCCGCCTTGGCCTCCCAAAGTGCTCGGATTACAGGCGTGAGCCACTGTGCCCGGCCATTGACAGTTTTTAAGATTTCTTTCTAAATACCAAGACAAAGAGCAAAAGATCAATACTTGAGTATCCATGTTAAAAGATCTTTTTTTCATCCTATATAAGTAATTATCTAGTGTCCTAT
Source organism: Homo sapiens (assembly GCF_000001405.40). Taxonomy (NCBI): domain Eukaryota; kingdom Metazoa; phylum Chordata; class Mammalia; order Primates; family Hominidae; genus Homo; species Homo sapiens. The sequence continues at coordinate 155,643,955 of NC_000002.12, read as the reverse complement.
GGATGACTAGCCTACTGGCAAGATATTTACCTACCAGAAGACATTGATCTGCCAACATTCAGGTTTTCTAATACAGAATCCTATGTTTACATGAATGACTTCTCTATTCCAAAGATATAGGGAGAAGGTGAGCACTCACCTTATCTTTCCTTTTTCTGTCTTTAATGGATAATGCATACATGTTTTACTTCTATTGACAGTGTAAAAACATTTGAAAATAAAATGTGTGGAGAATCTCATTGCTATTCATACAAACAAACAGACAACAAACAACAAAAAGTGTGAACAATAAAAAATAAGACTAACTTCGTTATGGCTGTTGACTAATGGACTTGTCTAATCAAGATACATCAAGAAGCCCTGATCTAAGAACTGACTAGCATTATCCAAGAATTTTCTGGATGTGGCTGGAGTGTGAGAATTCCACATTGATTGTGCATATGTTTTAAAGGATTGATCTTCCACAAAAACAAAATAGAAATAAATTACCCTTATCCATAAGAAACAAATTATAAGCAAGATTGGTTTTCCAAAATCCACATTAGATGGAATTGTAGTGTCTGAATGGAAGTCTTTACTTTATGAAAATTATAATTATTTTGATTTTTGTCCACAATCAGCTTGAAATGTTGCAAAACTCTGCAGGTGCTCACTGTTATAACAAAACCATGGGAACAGATGGTGCAAGGTACCAGGCCAGCTCAAGGGATTAAATGTGAGGCTTTTGAAATTTAAAATTAAAGCTGGGTGATCTTGGGAAAACCTGCCTGCCAAACATGCTTGCTTAAAAAAAATAAAAATAAAAAATTTACCCAAATTCTCTTGACAAGCTTATTTACATTCGAATGACTAGGAAATATTAAGTAGTTATAAAGTACTGTTGGCAGGGTACAGCCCACCTGATCAAATTAAAATATGAAATGCTCACTTCCATTATGGTGCTAAGGCTTTGCATGCAGCGACCCCCCTCTTACATTTTGTTCCTACCAGGAGCCAATTTCTTTGGACAAGTTGGTACATTTATAGGTGCTAAAATAAAGATATTGTAAACAGTCTCTTTTAAAAGGACAGAGTGAAATGTTTTGGTTGAATTACTAATGATGAGTTTAGGAGATTCACATCCATTGCTATGAGTAAAAGAAATGAGAAAAGAAAACGTTCAAAAGTTAACATGCTCAACCAGCTTTAGTTCTCCTAATAACAAAATCCATGTTCAAAATACATTGAGAGAAACATACTTAAAATATCAAGGTTGTTATATTTATTTTTGTATTGCTAGTATATTCTTTATAATAAAGTAATATCTTATGATGATACATATTAGAACATTTGAGCAATTACTATGAAACATGAAGTATTTTTATATTAACATTAATGCTCCAAGCTCCTTTGCAAGGTAGATATTATCTATACTTACAATTGTGGAAACATTCTCCATTACTTGCTACTAAGTATTGAAAACTTGAATACAACACTGAGTGAGTTTCTCCTCAAAAGCCATTTTTTTCTTTTTCAGTTTGCCAGATATATTTATGACTATCATCTAATCCTATTAACAAATACCCTATGTCAAGGGATATGCAGTAATACCCATCTTATAGATGAAAACAACAGGGCCTTTGAGAGGGTCTGGAATTACAGCACATCACAGAGTTCTGAAATGACAAAGTCAGGAATAAGGCATAATTCTTTCTGTCGCAATTTAGTGTTATTTCCATTGACCGCTTAATTTATTTACAGATAACCCTGTAGTAGAGTGAGGCATTTGAAAATGTAGATGTATGTACTTGAGCTTTTCTCTTATCCTCCAGAAAATCTATCCAATGGCTTAACATTATGTTTCTCCTTTTCTGGGTTATGGTGTATTTCATGAGCATGGGTGGGAATTCTTAAATTCTCTGGGAGAGTTTTTAGGCTTCTAAGAAGTTGAATGAGTCAGACATATATGCAAGATAGTAGTCCAGGCATTTGAAACATAAGGATAAGTAAATCATAGAACCTGACTTTATGATAGTCATCATCTAAATTGCATAATATCTCAGACAGCATGCTGAATATTTTCCATACTTGATTTTATCTAATCTCTCTGAAAATATATTGGGCCAATATTGTTATTCCTATTTTAAATATGAAGAAACTGAGGCTCTGCAAAGTTGATTTATTTGTCTAAATCCACAAAACTAAGAGTTGGGGAAGCTGGAATTCATATACAAGTTTGATTGACTGAAGTTACTACATTATTCCACCTCCCATAGAAGGGGAGAGAGAACATACACAATTAAAATAAAATGTGAAAAAGTGAGATGAAGTCTCATAATTGGAATCTAAATGAAGTAATATTGAATGACTCTGATTGGAGGACATTCTCATTACAGGTGGTGACATTTGAGTTGAGTCTTTGAAGAAAAATAGATTTTGCCTATTGGGCGAGAGAATGAGTGGTGTTTAAGCAGGGGATACGGTGTCACTAAAGCCACAGAGTCATCAAATTTCATGCTACATTAAGAAAAAGGAGGATATAAGCGGATATAAGCTTGGAAATCTTGATGGAAAGAAGAAATCAAAATGATGCTCATGTAGGGCAAATTTGGGGAGGGTGAAGTTCAAGATCATGTATTTCTTGGATTTTAGAAGGCAATTACCAGTGCTTAGGTAAGAGAAGGTAGCAGAGCCACTGTGGAGATAAGTCATTTTTCTTTGAGTATACTTCTCCAAAATACCCAGTAAAATCTTTCTAAAGTTAAGTCTTAGGTTACATAGGAAAGCTTGGATATACTCGGAAAAAAAATTTACCTTGTTTATGATAATGTGTTATTTCATTTTAAGGTTCTATAATATTTTTCTTTGCTACTATCTTTTCTGATGCATTATCAGTGAAAGCCCATTGCTTCTCCACGAATAATATAACCTTTATTCTAAGACTATGGAATAAACATATGTTATAGTTATAGTAAGCAAAGTTTGTCATAAACACTCTGTTTTGATGGACTAAAAGTTAACAGCTAATGAAGTTCACTATGTTTTGTAAATCTTTGATAAAGATTTATTTAGAGTAAAAGTATGAATTTTATTCATTAATCATTACTGAGTTTTTCTAGTGTTTTGGGTATCAGTGCCCAGTTTTTAACCTACTAAGAATATTAAAATAGAAAAACGCCGGTAGAGACTCTGCATTCTTAAGTCTGAAAATGAAACACCTATTCAGCTTTATGTCCTTTTGCTTCACCTCTGTCTGCTTATAAGAATATTTTAAATGTCCTGAAATGTTGTAGCCATATCTGCAACTGCAATACCAGTATATCTTTGCTAAACTTGTGGTTAAATATGAGAGTAGAAGCAGAAGAAATCATTGCAATAGAAAACCAAAACAATGGGCCGGGCGTGGTGGCTCAGGCCTGTAATCCCAGCACTTTGGGAGGCTGAGGCAGGCAGATCACAAGGTCAGGAGATGGAGACCATCCTGGCTAACACGGTGAAACCCCATCTCTACTAAAAATACAAAAAATTAGCCGGGCGTAGTGGCAGGTGCCTGTAGTCCTAGCTACTAGGCAGAGCTTGCAGTGAGCCGAGATCGCTGCCACTGCACTCCAGCCTGGGCCACAGAGCAAGACTCTGTCTCAAAAAAAAAAAAAAAAAGAAAAGAAAAAAAAAAAGGAGAACCAAACTGTGGAATAACCATAAATTAATTGCTAGGCAATGTTACTTTTAATCACTTTCCTAAATAAATATTTTTTGTGGTTGACCAGATCAACTGTAAAATTTCCTCATTATGCATTAACATTTTAGTAACTGCAGTTCCTCATAGATCTTGTAAGAATAAATTGTCTATTTCTCTTTATTCATTGCAATACTAAGAAGCAATAGCTCATAGAGATTTAGAAGCATTTAGAGAACAATAGACTCAACGTGGGGTGAGATAGAGATTGGGTTCATATTGTGTTTCAGGAATATCATTAGTACTTGTTTTAATTGTTATGTTATTGAAAAGTGTAGGACATACAGATTTTCTGTATATTTAGAAATGACCATACATAATTATATTTTTTAAGAATATTTAAGCACATAGAAGTTGTCCACTTTTCACCCAACCATAAGCTTCATAACCAGAGTTGTTCAAGGCTAAACAGACCCTAGCAACTCTTTCAAAATCAATGCATTTTGCAAATCTGATAGTATTGAACTATGCTGGCTTGTGCCTTTGTTAATGCATTAGATAACCTATTAATCATAACTTTACTATTTCTATGCAAGATATGCCTAGAGGACCATTTACTCATATATTAGATGCACCTTATTTTCCTATCACTTTCTTTCTCTAAGAGTTTGTGTTCATTAACTAAATATGTTACAGTGGAAAGACTTTGGAAGCCATAGTGCATTCACTGTGCAACTTAACTTCAAGATCTTGGAAAGGAATGTGTTCAGGTTCAAGCAACCAGCAGATAATCTGATGGTATCAGATGCCAAAGGCCTGGGAGGACCTGTCAGTGGCAGAGATAGCAGGTTGATGAGGTTTTATGCCACTGAAAGCCAGTTTGGTTATAATAATTGACTGACTCTCTTTTCCTCCTTCTTTCAGGTACCTGACCTATCTTGTCTTAGTAAAGGTTTTATATAATTTAATTAGGTAGTATGGTTATAGAAATGGGATAGAACAAAAGTCTTTCAGGATCAGATCAAACCTTTCTGCTTTGCACGCTAGACATTTGATTGGGATGTTTTATTTGGCAGGTACAGGCTGGCAGGAAGAACTAATTTAAATAAACTAGAAGGGATTAAAGTAGGTTCAGGGAGCAATCTAAATTTTTTTAAAAAGGGATTTATAGACAAGGCCTTTGTCTGTCTCCCTGTGCTGTGTCATTGGAGCACATATGGCTCTTTATATCAGCCTGCCCTATAACAAAGCCAGTGTTTATTCTGGCTGATACTTAGAAATGATATGAGCTGCAAAGCCAAAGCATCAGGGACAGTGCCGAGACATTAATTATAAATGTATAGTTCTTAGAGTCTTTTCCTTCAAAACTTTATAGAAAGATTTTCTATTTATTAAAAAAAAACTTGCCATCTCAAACCCTTCATTTTTCCAACTAGAAAGACAATGCCTTCACTAAAACATATATTGACACAAAATCCCATTAACACTATAACCAGGTAAAATATTATCCAGTATAGGAATACCAGAGCACATCAAAATTATAGTTTCTAGCATTTTGATACATGGTAATGATTTTGGTGTGAAATAATATATTACTCTATGAAAGGAAAAATATATTACTTTGATTGAACCCAAACTTTAAAGTGTTTCTCATTTTGAATTACCTATCTTTTTCAATTTAGAAAGAGTTTGGTTCAGTTATGTCCTATTTTTGCAATATCTTAGGATTTTAAAATATCACTCTGTTTTGAAATGTAAATTAGCACATATTGGTAAGAGAGGAATGGATTTTGAGTTATATATGGGCCAAAACGCTAATATTCAAACCATATGGTTCTAATAATCCAAATTGGAATATTCGTGTTTTAGTGGAAATAACTGGATTTACTTAGAATCATAGAGACATATCAATTTAGGGCTCCCAGGGAACTTAGATAATATCATAATCTAGATGATGAAATAGATTAGGTCATTTGCCTATGTTAAATACTTAATGAAAGACATAGCTGTCACATAGTTTATTACAAAATAAAAATGAAACCACTACCCCCACCCTCCAAAAATTATGTGTTGTAATACAGGTATCAATTCCAGAGGTCATGCACAGAATCAATAATTAGAGGAAAACAAAAGCTATGCATCAAAGATGAGCTATTTCCACTTGGGAACAAACTCAGAACAAATGAACACTGACCATTTCTTATCATGGCATAGAAATCTTTTGCAGATTTTCTTCAGTATATCATCCTGACAAACAATTCAGGTTACTTTTCCCTTCAGCACCTAAATATTCACTTTGAAATAAGCTGGATGTAAAATAGTTAAGAATACTTTCAAATGCTTATGTTTTGGTATATTTGGTAACTATCATTCCAGAACTTGCATTCTTTGTGTTTTTCAAGTTTCAATTTCTAATGAAGTATAGTGGTCTTCTTAAAAATGATTCAATTTAGAAAATAACACTGAATATCTTACAGTATTTAGGAAGGTCTGAATTTTGTGTATTTCAATGTGAAGATTCTAGGGCTGAAAAGAACATTTCTTTTATCTTGACAACAATTGCCTATCTGGTAAAGTATCTGTAGTCATGTTGATCCCAGGGTAGCTTTTGGTTCCAGGGCAATCTATTGGCCACTATCCATGAATTGCAAGACATGAAATCTTAGAAATAAATTCTAATTATGAAGTTAAATATGTGAATAATCAGAGCAAAATCCAACAGTGCATTTCAAAATCGAGTAGAGATTTCTTTTCTTAAGATGGAAGAAAAAAAAACTCCTTCTTAGAAATACTCACCAAATAACCAGAACAAGAAACAGAACCATATATTTTTCCTGAACAAACTAGAAGATCACCATCTCCTGAAACTACAATTTATGAAGAAATTAAATAGAAGGAAAGTGAGAAATAGGTGAAGATACCAACAGAAGCAAATCTCAAAGTGGCAGAGCAGAGTTATTCTAAAAGAGTGGTTCACACTAAAAGGCAAACCAAACTACGGTTTGGAATGATGGAATGGATGTGTGTGCTGTCACCTCCTTTAGCATAAAATGGAAGCAGGGATATCAGGAATGAATTTCACAGAGAATGATATTTTCAGAAGCATCATGAGAGTGCAGCAGGGGAAGAGAGAGGAACCCTGCATTGGGAAGAAGCTTACAACTGACACTGTATACAGCTCTGGAAAAGTAAAGTAAAAAGTGTGTGTCCTGAGAAAACTTCCAGCTATTCCGGAACATGTCCTTGGCCCCTTCTCTACACGAACGTCCTGCAAACAGCCTGTCAAGGAAGAATTTATTAAAAGATGAATTATGAAAAAAGAAATGAACACAGGATCTGCAGAATAATAATCAGAAAGTAGCTGGCACAATATAAAAAGACCTTGCTAGGGAAAATCGGAGCAAGACTAAGGGACAATAGTAAAAGAGGGACATGTACTAGGAAAACATTGCCATAAAGAAGAACAAACAAGTACAACCACAAATATTGCTGCGAGTTAAATAAGTACATAAAAATACTGAAGTATCTGACTTTATAAAATAAAAGTCCAAACTGGAGGTACAAGAGGTGTGATTTTAAACTAAAGGCATTACTTAGAAAGGCAGAGAGAGAAAGTATGATGTAATGAAGCCCATAGTGAAAGCAGTTCAGAATAGATTTTCATTTCTGAAAAACAAAATTTAAAAATCTATAATTATGTGGTAGACAACAGATAAGAGATTTGAAATAAAATGCAAATGAACAAGGATTTTAAAAGATTAGAGGCCAGGTGTGGTGGCTCACACCTGTAATCCCAGCACTTTGGGAGGCCGAGGCGTGTGAATCACGAGGTCAGAAGATCAAGACCATCCTGGCTAACACGGTGAAACCCTGTCTCTACTAAAAATACAAAAAAAAAAAAAAAAAAAAAATTAGCTGGGCGTGGTGGCAGATGCCTTTAGTCCCAGCTACTCGGGAGGCTGAGGCAGGAGAATGGCATGAACCTGGGAGGCGGAGCTTGCAGTGAGTCGATATCGTGCCACTGCACTCCAGCCTGGACGACAGAGCAAGACTCCATCTCAAAAAAAAAAAAAAAAGATTAGAGAAAATAATATAGAGAGAATGGAAAAAGTAGTTAACTCATATTTAATGTTTGTGAAAATGAAAAACGAAACAGAAACAGAAAAGTAATATGTTGCAAAAATGTCCAGAAAATATAGAAAACCTGAATATATAAATTCAAATGGCATATCTTATTCTAAAAGCAAAAAAGATGCAAAGCAATCAATACTCAGCCACTTCCTGGTAAGACTAATTAGTAAACAGCAACAATATTAAGCCCTAGCCTACCAATTGGAAATGAAAACAACCATCTCTGCAATACCTGTTGGGCCAATACTTAATCAAAACAATAGCTTTAAAATATCTAGACTATAATAACAATATAAACATACATATCAAAACCTTGTGGTCAATTAAAACAATGCTCACAAAAAGTTAAAATTTTTGATACACAAGTAAGAATAAAAAATAAAGTAAGGCTCAGTTGAAGAAGCTAGAAGAATAAAACCAAAGGAATCAGTAAAGAAGAAAGCAAAGATTAATATTATAATATAGAAAAATAATTCATGTATTTAATCTAACAGTTTTTCCTTTTAATAAGAACCAACAAAATATAAACATTTAGCCAACCTAATTAAAAATGAACTAAAAAAGACACACATATTTGACATAAGAAATGCTACTCAGGGAAAAATGATAGAGAAAATTAAAGTAAATAAGCAATATTCAAATGAGAACTCAGAGAGTAAAAAAAATAAATAAATAACTTAGGGAGATAAGAACCAATATCAGAAATACAGATTGTGGTTAAAGAGCTATCCTCAAATGAGTAGCAGGCCAACAAATTTAGCCTCACAGAGAAATTATACCAAACCTTTAAAAGCCAAAACTCATATGAATCAGATATAGAGAAATAGAGAAATAAATTAATATTCTGATAAATGACATAACATTGATAAAACTGACAAAAAGAATACACAAAAGATCATATCAAATATTCTTATATATAAATATTTGTATACAAATCCCCCAAAAATTAGCAAATAAAATTCAGTAGTAGAGTTAGATCATTATCTCAAGATATACCTCAAACTGTATCACAGTTTATCAAACAAACAAAAATCTATAAAAGGACTAAAAGAATATATACTAGAAATAAAAATAATTTCACAGTGGCAAAATCCTTTTTATTTATAAAACAAATATCAGAAGATACAAAAGAAAAAAATTGGTAACTATAAATGCATAAACAATTAAAACTTTGGACATAATGTAATAAAGTCAGAGGTAAATATTGTAACTTAAATGACACATCAGAGTTTAAATTTTTTTAACATAAAAAGAAGATTCAGAATATTAGTTAGAAAAAGATCAACAACACAATAAAGTAATTTATACTCAGTTACTAACAGCAAGAAAATATAAATGATTATATTAAAAGTTGTGTAAAAATTACTTACAGTGAAAGAAATCCAAAATAAAATTACAATAAGAACAATTTTTCACCTAGAGCTTGGCCAAACTCAAAAGGTCGGCTCTGGGAAACTACAATCTCTTTAAAAAGCACTATATTTAAAATTTAAAATGGACATACCCTTTGACCAAGTAATTCTACTGGAAAAATTTATCTTAAAATTATAGTCACATATTTATAAAGTAACCTTCCTCTTTTGTGATTTATACACCATTGTTTGTATTTGCTGAGGAAAGATCCTTTTAATTGAAATCTTTTTATATATATATTTTTGAAACAATGGCTAGTAATGGTTGTTTCTGAAAGGTAAGTGTGGTATTAGATGTTTTTGATTGAGTTGTCCTAGAAACAGACACTGAGACAGAGAAAGAAAGAAGTGCTCTTCAGGGCAATATCTATAAGGGAGTGAGAAAAACAGAACTGGTCAAAGGCAGAAGTTATAGATGAGTCACAAAAATAACAGGTTTCACTAGATCCCACAAGAAACAATGGCACTGAGAAAGCCCGCCCTTTAGATTGTCCTAATGTGATATAAGGGGACTGAGCTGGGTCTTTATAGCCCCCACATTAAATGCAGGCTGCTCTCAGGGGGAAATGGAACTTTGAGTAAGGTGGCTCTCATCAACTCAGGGCAAGTCCATGAGATAAACTCAGCTGAGAGTTTTCAGCTGTCAATTCCCGCAGCAGCTGTGGAGATGGATGTCTCAGTCCTGCAAGGGGAAGAGGATGGGTGGTGGAATGCAGCACACCACAACATGCACTGCGCTGGCAGATCATAGGAAGAGGAAATTTCTTTTTACTATAAATACCTCTGCATCTTTTCTTTTTGTGTTATTATCACAATGTATTTTTAAAACACAATACCTAGTCAAATAAATAATCGAGAATAGCAACTGCAAAACAAAATGCAATGGAACACAGGGATATTTAAGAAATTACTGTAAGCCAGAGAGTCACAGCAATAAACATCTGCAAAAGGCCATTTCCTCCAAGCTATTCTATATTTCTTTAGTCTGTGCAAAATCATGGCGGGGAAGATGAAAGGATGCTCTATTCAATAATAAGCAGAACATTATCTGAACAACGTCTGTTTGAATGCTGAACAGTCTGCTTACTTCATGAAGCCTTTAACAATTTCTAGTTTACACAAGCTCACAATCTCAAAGGCAATAAATTCAACCATGCCTCATATCCTTGTCATCTGTGGCGTTTGGCCACAATATTAGCCCAACCAATCAGTAATTATCTTTCCAATACTTCTCTGTGTTGCTTTTTCTCAAGTCTTCTACCCACAGCCTGCATTTCTCCCAACCCTTTTTTTCCTAAATTCCTCAAACTTTAATCAGTCTAACTGTAAAACTCCCTTTGTCTTAATTTTTTCAAGAAGTATTTCTTCTACTCCTTAACTTTAATAAGAATCCTACTCTTTTTAAATTACTCCACTCCCCCTGTGTCTTACCTGTGTAGTTGCTACTCGTCTTGCCTGTGTAACACATAGAGGTGAATAACTCTCTGTGCAACAGGTATTGCAACTATGTGCAACCTGTAGTTTGTGCAACAATTAGCCATCTACTTGCTGGGAACAAAGTAAAACTCATTCTTTTAATTACTCCTGGGGATGGGGACTCTTAGATGATTGCTTTTAGACCTGTGAAAAACTTTCCTTCCTCTTTTGAGTTTCAAGTCATCCAGCTTTACCATTCTCTTCCCCACTTGTATTATTTTCCCAACAGCCTATATAACCTGAACATTAATGTGGAGGCTTATTGTACGCTAATGCAACAACCATATCCAGAGACAAAGAGAAGGCTGAAAGATTACTTGTTGGTTTTGATTTCATAGTTCTGGAGTTCAATTTTTTGAGGGGTCCAACCATCTGCCAACCATTGGATTCTATGAGAAAATAATATATTCCTTCAAATTAATTCCTTAATCGTTTTTTGGGTAAAAGATGCTTGCCATGGTAGAAAACACAATGGCTGCATGGGAGTGAAAATAATTGTCTGTCCTAATTTTTTTACTTGAATATTAAGTGTCTTTGTTTCTTTAGGTCTCCATTTTTCATCGTTAATAGTCCCTTAAAGAAAGCATGGTGCAGTGGATAGAACCCTGAATCAATGGGAGGAACCAGGTTCTTTCTCCTTGTGCTATGACTTAATTATCCATGTCATCCTAAGAAATAACTTGAAATGCCTTAAGATGTTCCCATTTGAAGATGACCATAGTAGTCAGAGAGATTGAATAAGAAAAAAATAATTGATACACAATCAGACCCTGACATGTTATTGTGGAAAATCATTTATTAGATCACTTGTTTTCACACTTTTGTTAAAGCAGTGAAGCTCACATGAGACTCACTTCTGAAACTAACATTTATCATTTTAAGTTATTGTTGTAAAGTTCTTAACTAATGCCAGAAATTATAAGTCCACTGGTAGTGTACATTAACATATTGACAATGGACACTCATTGAATATTATGCCATAAGATCGTATAGTTTAAGTAGTACAATAATATAGTCCTTCCATTTGTTCAGCAGTAAACTCCACTAGACACAGCAGAGTTTGTCTCTGTAATTAAGTTTCAACATATTAATAAATTATAATTTATTAAAATATGTGTCCTATGAAGTACGTTTGCTGTTCTCTCTGCTCAAATATTCTATTCCTCTGACTTCCTGTAAAATTGTTAGAATAAAGAAAATGAAAAAATAAATGTATACACATTTTCTAATATCTGAAATGATTATGACTATGTACTCATAATGTATATATGTTTATATTGAGTGTATATGAGTACATTTACAGATATATATTATGAGGATATATGTATATATACATATATGTATATATCCTCATAGATACATATATATCATATGAGTACATATACAGATATATATTATGAGGATATATGTGTATACATGATAGACATATTTATACATATATAAATGAGGATATATACATATATGTATATACACATATATTCTCATAATATATATGTATATATGTACTCATATATGCTCATATATATACACAATATATGTCACTGTTATCAACATGAAAAAATTGGGTGTCTGTCTTTTTTATCTGAAACTGTACATAATTTTTACCCATGTCTTTTCAACCTTAATTTAAAAATGTGTGTTGGTAATACAAGAGTGTATTTAAAAATATGAGTGACCTCTTTATCTTACTTGACTCTATTGGAATTATTAACGGATTCACCAAAGCTTTATTATTCACCAAACACAGGGTAGTTAAGATTTAAGTTTTAACAATAGTTTCCAGGTTGCTTGTAGATGTTTTATTCAATAATAAGAATTGTATTGTGTATAATCCTATGAAAAGATATTGTAATTAACTGGTGAATTGCTATGGCAGTGGTAAGTATTTTAAACCTTAATTACTTCTTCCTTTTGCTTTCTCCTTCAGATCATCAATTAGGAAAGTCTGGCAGAGATATTCCAAAAAAAATTGAAAGTGTATTTAGTTGGAGAACCAAAATGTTAAGACTGAAATTTCTTTATTTTACGGGTATTCAAAATCTAAATGGTCTTGTTCTTTCTAAAGTTTTAAATTAATGGCTAGGACAAAAAAAATGACTTAATTTGTGGGAAGGAAATCTCAGATGCAAGGAACTTATTCTTTTAAGCTGCAGAGAAATGTAGTGCATTTATCAGCTTTGAGTGGATATCATTGTGTTTATAACAGAGTGGAGGCACCATGCAATTTTGCTCCTGAAATTGGTTTATATAGATGACTGGTTGCTGTGAAGTGTGTGTCAGAGTTCCATGCAGCTGTTATGAAGTAGTACAATTGTCATCGCTTCTTACATGGTTGTCGAGAAGAGCTTGAGAGCCCAGCTCAGTCAGCTGTTGAATAGATAACCCAACACAGTTAACGTGGCATACATTGTAAAGAATTACATGCTTGCTACAATGAGCTTTGGGCCTTTGGTCTAGATAATAATCCTGGTGGGTGTACCACGTGTAGTGGCTGTCTGATCACTCAGATATAACTGACGAAACATAAAGAAAAATGTCAGTCGACTGAAAGAAAAATGCTGCTGCAAGTTTGTTTAAGGTTCATGTAAACGGCTATGTGTATTTTTTAACCCCAAGTCTCCCAAGAACTTGACTGTCATGCTAAATGTCTAACACTAAAATTCAAAATCGAGAGAATGACCTATTTAAGGCTGTATTTAAATATATTAAGGTACATGAAAGCACTGCCTGTTTTGGTTACAGAGACTCAGCATTTCTGTTTCACAGAAAATAAAGCCTTTCTGAAAATCAACTTTCATATACAATGTATAAATAGAACACTACTAGAAAAGATAATTATTGACACCTTTTGAGTCATGGTGGCATTTTATGTTAATTTCCAAGAACATTAAGAATAGCAATGTAAACGTTTTGGGTGATTATTGATTATAATGAAATGAAATAAAAAAGTGGCAAGAAATACCACTATTTGCCATTTAAATGTAAACACAAACACTGGGATAATTAACATGTTATAATGATGTTCGTGAAGCCCAAAGGAGATAAAAACCACCAAAGTTATAGGATTTCCAACTTAAAGCTTTATTTATTTTTTCATTCACTAACCTTGGCTTCTGGACTTGCTTGTTGCTGTCCATATGGCATGTCACAAACATGGCTTGAACTTGGACTACTTTGATTCCTATACTCATTGGGAGGATTTATGGATATAACATCTGCTTAAACTTGGAGACGTTTTTATATTTGGTAATTTATGTCTTCGAAAATTACCACTTTATCTCCCTAAATTCCATAAATAATAATTTATTCATCAGCAAATAATGAAACTCAGAAAATAAAACAAAGTCCTGGTTTTAAGTGATTCATATGATAGGAAAGTGAGTTTTCACAACCTGAGCTAATTTCAGTTTCTTATTATTATTCCCTCAAATCTCATATTTACAAAGTTGGAGAGAAAACTTTGCCCATCTTCTAGCTTTATCTCTTACCAAAAGCATGAATCGTTTTTAAATTTTTATGACTGATTTTTATAATAATAGTAATAGATTTAACCGAGAAATCTCTTAAATATACCATCTACCAGTCAAAACACGTTTGTTTTAACACCTGTTCCTATTACTTATATTTCTGGGGATTGTCTTCTGATGAGCTTATTTCTTAAATCAGTGTTTTTAAAAATGCAGTCCAGATACCAACTGCATCAGCCGTCCAATAGAAAATTTCAAAGATTTAGGTGTAATAAGTTGCATTATTTATCAAGATCCTTCATATGCACATTAAAATCAGAGGCTTTTCCTTGCATTATATTAAAGCCTATTACAAACTTGTGAGAAATAGTTATAGAGTCATTAAAATCTAGTTTTCTGTGACAATTACTATTGTATAATTAATATTTGTCATTAAGGCTATTGAAAAATGATCAACTCACACCTAATTAATTGCAAGCCAGGTACTGTTTTTAGATAACAATGCTTTCCCATATATTTTCCTCCCAATGAATAAAATCTCCAAGCACTTTTTAGTGCTTGAAGCACACTAGGGGCTATACAATAAATAAATAATATTATACTCTGTCCCATTTTTTTATGGTGTGAGTTTAAATTTTCCAAAATAAGATATTTGAACATTTTGTATTAAAGCAAATAGAAATTGGGAAGATTCAACATGACCACAAATTCATTTCCAGTCCTCTCATCAGAAGTGATTCTATTTTTCAACCCCTTGAATCTGGGCTGGCCTTGTAAACAGCTTAGACCAATGGAATGAGAGGAAGTGACTGTACGTGACTTTTAGCCTAAGTCTAAAAAGGCTTGGACAGTTTCCATGCTAATGCTCTTGTAACACTACTGCCATGTTGTATGAAACCTGGGCTGTCCTATCAAAGGAGTTATGTGGAAGAGATTATAGACTTCCTACTAATGGCCCACATTAACAACCAAACTCATGAGCGATGCCATCTTGGATCCTCCAGCCCCAGTTGCACCTCCAGTGACTCCTTCCACATGAGTAACACAAGACAAAAGCAGAAAAGATCACCCAGCTGAGCCAGCCCTAAATACAAAGTCACTGGTACATAAATAGTTATTATTTTAAGCCACTAGGGTTTGTTGCAGTTTGTTACACAGCAATAGATAACTGAAACAAATGGCGATTATTCTGATGACTTCCTTGTTTGTAAAAATGGCACCATGATAATAATAATAGCAGTTTCTATCTCAAGATAATAATAATAGCAGTTTCTATCTCAAGATAATAATAATAGCAGTTTCCATCTGAAAATAATAATAATAGCAGTTTCTATCTCAAGACTTAGGTAAACAACTCTCATTCTAAAGTAGAATAACTCTCATTCTAAATACAAGAATTTAAGCATAGACTATATACATTTGTGGTTGAAGAAACTGGATCCCAAATATTTTTCTCTGTGTTATCAACTAAGCCACCTTAATAATGAAAATGTTATTCCATAGACTGTGTTTGTTTTTATTTTGTCTAAATGAAAATAAATTCACCGTTTTTTCCTGTATGAAATGATTAATTCTTTTAATACATTGGCTGTGTTTGGTTATTTAGGAGAAGAAAACTCATCCTTTTCCTGATATAATAGGATTGTTAGTTGTCTCAACTTGATGATGATCCCTAAAGAAGACATATTTCTGGGATATATTAGAACTCATCTGAACCACTCATTGATGAAGAGATGAACTTTTAAATAATCTATTATCATTTTTAATATCTATTTAAATGACATTGTTTGCCTTCTTGTTGCTGCTTTTGTGAGAAGTGGGTTTACATCAAGTAATTTCTATTAAGCTATTGTTTCCAAAGCATATACCCTATTGACTTCACCACTTTTCACAATGTGCTTTGGACATAGTCACCCACCACAGCCCTAAGGTCTCATTCTGCCAATCTCAACATTTTACATCTCTAAAGACATAGTATTGTAGAAATTCCCTTGTTGATCTTTCTTGGGTCACTTTCTATTTTATTGTTCCTCTTAGTAAAATGACAGCTGACCCTGAATCTAATCAACGTATTGTTTGTTAAAACATTCCACTTGGTGGCAAATATACAGATTTTTACAGTGATTTTTAAAATACATTCCATCTATTCAAGCCTGGCTGCATTTCTGAGCAGTAGACATAGGTTATGTTCTAAAAATATAATACATTTCTGTCTTTCTTTTGCGACTGATATACTGGACATTTATGAGTTTGATGTGCTTGTTTCTTTCCTTCACCCATCACTTCCTTTGAAGATTGAACATATTAACAGAGAGGTCTCTCTTTTAGAATCTTAGCTAGCGTCTTTGCCAGGATTTTACTTCAATGGGAAACACTAACAACATGCCACTAAAATCCGTGCATTCCTGTATGAAAGGCCAAGTTCATGTTTTGGAACCCATAGATTGATGGAGATTACTTGATATAAACCCACTTCTCACAAAAGAAACAACATGAGGCAAATTTAGAAAATAAGCAAGCAATAACAAACACAACAAATCATTTGGAAAACCTATGACCATTTGCAGATTGATAGTAATAAGTAAATGAAAGAGATTTCTGGAAAAGCAGAAATAGGCTTGACCATTTCTCGGTAGTTAATTTTGTTTGTTTGGATTTTTTAGTTTTCATCTTTTCTTTAAAAAAAAATTATCACTAATCATATTTACAAGACTGCAAATTTATATAAGATTACAATTAATACATACATCTCCTCTGTGGATTTATTGATGTACTCAATTTATGAGAATTTATTAATTATGTATCTTTAAAAATTAATAAAATTTGAAATACAAAACACACAATAGGAGGTTTGTATTAGTATGGCTAACACACAAAATAAGTCAGTTTCAAAGGGAGAAATCTACAAAGTGGTTGCCAGGCCTAGCATTGCACAACTACAGAAGTCATCTGTGCTTCAGAAGGTATGTGTTAAACATTTAAAATTAGAATAAATCACAAGTTAGATATAGAAGATTATTACCTACCAGATCAATTTCCAAACACCAGTTAATTTCAAAGCACTCATTCCTGTTGGTGTGAGACTCTCAGCCTCCTCACTCTCAAAGAGGGCACTTGCCGTGCCCCCACAGGAAGCCCAAATTCAGCAGTGCAGTTAGGATACAGCTCTTATGCCTAGGAACAGCAAGGGAGTGTTCAAATATGAAACACTTGCTCTGAAAAGAGCTTCCTAATATATGTGCATGTTTATAATTTGGGCTCTCGTGGAATACTATCATATATAACCCTGAGAGCTCTCGCCACTCCCAGCTTTGCTGGGGTCAAACTTTTTATTTATGCAATAAAAGAAAATAATGTCAATGACATAATTATTTTGAGACAGCTAAATGATTACTATTCAACTTAAACTTGTCCTCCTACTAAGAGTACACTGATGATAGATCCCATGACTATTTGACATATTCTTTCAACAATTCATATTGTGATTAACTTGCAATATCATTTGGTCAATAGTAAAGCACAGATACATTCACTCATTCACTAGTCAACAAGAATTTATTGAATAACCGCTATGTGTTAGTCTCTCTTAGACTAAAAAGAGATTAGACTGAACAAAATACAATGTTCAGCTGTCATAAAGCTTGTATTGAAGTGGGGAAAATAGCCAACAAAAAATAAGTAAGTAAGTATGTGTGGATGTACACACATACCCACACACGTAAAATCAGAGGGACTCATGAATGATACAGTATGATAGAAAAAGAGTGAGTAAAATGGGGCATTATTTTAGGTAGCATAGCCAGAGAAAGTCTCCTGAGGGTATGATAGTTTATCACAGACCTCAATGAAATAAAGAAATGAGACAACCAATTATTGAGAGAAGTGACATTCCAGACAGAGACCTTAAATGAATAACTTGGTACAAGTTCCCAGGAACAAGAAAGAGGGCCAATAATGAAAACCGCCACAATTACATGTGTGTTAGATTTGTCCAGTTGCTTTAAAACAAATTTCTACTTATATTTTAATTAACTGTCTCATAACTTTCTATTTCAGCCTCCCTGCAACCAGTGCTATCTTATGAAGTATTCCCTTCTCACTCACTCCTGCATCCTCCAAGTGCTTTTGCAGTTGTGAACTTCAAAACTGAACACTGCACTGCCAGTGGTCTGTGCTCTGGGGATGCAGACAGTTCTACAGCTTTATCTAGGTGGCTATGCATGCACACTATTGGCTTCACTGCTTCTCACAATGTGCTTTCAACATAGTGACCCGCCATGACCCTAGCATCTCATTCTGCCAATCTGAACTTTTATATCTTTAAAGACATATTTTTGTAGAAATTCCCTTGTTGATCTTTGGTCAACTTTTTGTTTATTGCTCCTCTTGGTAAATGACAGTTTGAATTTCTTTTCTTAAAGGTTCTAGCTACTTGCTCTGCAAATTGCCATCATTGTCAGCCTGATTCTTTTGTCATATAAATTGCTGACAAAAATGTTAACTGCCATATCCTAGAGTGATGACTGTTCTTCCTCAGGGCAGAGGGTGATCCAATGAAATCTTGTCTTTGACATCAGACTTCTATCCATTTTGCACAAAATAAAGATCTGGCACCTCCAAGTGTGATGAAAGAACCTGTGTAACCAGCAGCATCGGAAACACCTGAACGAAGAAATTTGGGCCTCACTTAACTCTTATTGGACCCAACTCTGCATTTTTACATGAGCTCTAGAAAATTCATATACACATTCCTTTTTAAGAATCTCTGTACCAGATGACCTCACAGCCGACTTCTTCCTAATTATAAAGTTCTTTCAACATTGTCTCCAAGTTGTCAGGGTGTAAGTGATTCTCCTTAGAAGAGGAAAAACATGATACAAGCCAACACACTACTCTGTATTATAATTACCTCCAAATTTCATAATTTCTGTTGTACATTTAAACTTTTACAATCAGATAATTGTTTTGCCAAACAGGCATACTTAACTTACCTAATGCTTAGTTTAACTTTTATGTTAGTTAAAATAATTATACATTATTTATTATTAGATACAGTGTCTAAACCCTGTATAGCACACAGGTCTTAATATGTTGAGGGTCCCTTGAAAAGAAATAAGTTGATCATCAGATTATCTCTACTGCCATCATTTCCTACTGTATACGTTTGTCATTAAGCACAGAACTCAGTTCTAGACATACCCTCTCATTTTAATGGATATTTTGTTAGGATTACCCTGAAACGTAGTACTCCGTTCAATAGTCTGAAAGAAAATCTAAATGTTATCTCCTCTACCTAGAATCATAGTACTTAAACTACCAATATAACACACTAATATTAAGGAAAAACAAAATAATTTATTATTCAAATATTTTTCTTTATATATGTAGATGCTTGGGCATTTGTCAACATAATGAAATCACCAGATTTTTGCAGATAATGAAAGAATCACTGTGAATGTGACAATTGCAAATGCAGATAGATGCAGGTGCTTTAGATTGACTAATCAAATGCCACAAGCGATATTGCTATTGGTGATTTAACAAAATGATGTGCAACTCAGATAATGTTCTGAACAAAACAACATAATCTTTCCTTAATATTCGTGGACTTGCCATCTTTAATAAATCAGAACATATTCAAACTTTGAAAAACAAATTTTTGTTTAAATTTAACTCAATTATGTTTTAGGTTCTGATAATTAAAAGTATCTTTAATATACTTTATGTTTTAGAACATTTTTAGATTTACAGAGAAGTTGAAAAGGTAGTACAGGGAGTTTTTTGATATGACCCTTCACCCATTTTCCATATTATTAATACATACATTAGCATGGTACATTTGTTTCAATTAATAAAGCAACATTGAGAAATTGTAATTAACTAAAGTCTACAGTTTATTCAGAGTTCCTTAGTTTTTCTCTAATGTCTTTTACTATTTCAGGATTCCATCCAGGATAACATATTACATCTAACCCTGTCTCCTTAGACTCCTTTTGGCTGTGGCAACTTCTCAGACTTTGTTTTTGACAACCTTGACAGTTTTATATTTTGTCAGTTTTGAAGGATGCCATTCTACTGGAATTTTTCTGATTTTTTCTTATGATTTAATTACGGTTATAGATTTTTGGGAGGAAACAACATATCATAAGTACATACTATTAACATGATTTATCACTCTTGATATTGACTGTAATCATCTGACTAAGAGACAAATAGTTTTCTCCATTGTAAAGTTACTCATTCACTCAACCCCCTTTCCATATTGTCTTCTTTAGAAGGAAGTCACTGTGCACAATCCACACTTAAAGAGCACAGACTTATGCTCCTCATCTTCAAGGGTGAAGTATTTACATAAATTATTTGAAATTCTTCTTCATAGTAGATTTGCCTTTTCTCCCCCACTTATTTAACTATTCAATTACTTATATATAGCAGTATGAGCATATTGATACTAATTTTATATTTTGGGTTGTAATCTCATACTACTTTATTTATTTTGCTGCTCACATTGCTCCAGCTTTGGTCACTGGGGGCTCCTTTAGTTGGTTCCCATGTTACTTTGTCATATTCCCATCAGCGTAGGATTTTGTTGTATTTTGCTTTCTGAGCCTTTTCTTAATTTCTGGTACTACAATATGCTCCAGGCTCATTGTGTATACTTTTTTCTTAGTCCTAGAATCGGACACTTCTCCAAGGAGCCC
Source organism: Homo sapiens (assembly GCF_000001405.40). Lineage (NCBI taxonomy): Eukaryota > Metazoa > Chordata > Mammalia > Primates > Hominidae > Homo > Homo sapiens. Next base: position 155,623,113 of record NC_000002.12, on the reverse strand, counting down.
TGGTTCCTTTTAGGTGGAGAAAGGTATTAGAAACCAATAAAAGGATACTAGTTGTGTTCATTGCTGCTAGGATGCCATTGCTTGTAGGCACTCTCAAATGACAGAACAGGAGTTTTGTGTATACTAATTTGTGTATATTAGTCCCCTGTCTACACACACACACCACACACACACGTAATCATCTGCATCTAGATTAAGCTAAAGATGAGTTCAGAGTGATATCTTCAACTCTAATTCATTAGCACATACCATATGGATTATTCTGGCTTCGACTCTAACAATGAGAAACCTGGAGCTCATTATCATCCATTAACTTAATCATTCAATTTTAGTCTACTTGTATAGTATTATAATTTTCACATGTACCTCTTAAGGGGAAAAAATACTCCATCAACTGTAGTGTAGGGCTGTTGTGCAATTTTCTTTGGGCTTTTGCTTTACAGACTCCACTTATTTCCTAACTTACTTAGGTCAGCACATTTTCCGTCCACCCTCTGCCTTAAGGTTCTTTCATATATTTATAATACAGTTAAATTTATTTATATTCTTCCTTGGGATTCCTAGGCCTTCTAATGATTTTATTTTAATTTGTATGTATTAAGATATACTCTTTGTGCTGTGAGGCTTTGTAGTTAGTCAAATAAGTAATGTCTTACATTATGGTATCATAGAGAATAGTGACGCCAACCTAAATATCTCATACCTATTCAATCCCCTTTCCCCATTATAAGTACTTTTGCCTACATAATGGTTGTGGAGATTTTTAAATTCCCTGAGCAACAGAGAGCATTACAGAATATTCAGCATCCCTGGTCCTCATCCACAAACGACAGTAATGTTGTTCCATCAATATGAAAAACAACCTTACAAATTTCCTAAACAGTCTCATCCTATTGAGAACCACTGAACTACTAGAAAGCCAACCTTTATACAGTAAATAAAAATCCATTTAAGAGACAATAGGCAAATTACATATAATTTGGTTGCTTCCTCTGGTTTTTCTATAAATGTGTATGGACAAAAATTTATATTACTGAAATGTTTCATACTGTCTTCCTTGGCATACCCTCTCGTGATCCTGAGAACACCTAGGCTATTTAGTCTTTAAAAAAATCAGAGCCTAATGGTTGAATCTGCAATGCATAGGAAAGGAAATCTGATGAAACATGGAACATGTTTATCTAAAATATTTTAAAATGTTTAAAATGTATTATTGGACATTTTTTGATCTTGTGCTATAAATATACCAAACTAAGAAAAGAGAGTGAGGGTGAATTTGGGGGCCCAGTCAAAGAAGAGAGGCTTTAACTAAATAGTTAAAATGAACATATATGGAAGGAAGTCTGTGCACTTGAAACTTTGTGTGGTTTTCAGGTAACTTTATTCTACTTCACAGCTGCAGACCATTCCCTAACAAGAACTGACAGCAGTGACTGCTGAAGACAAATAATTTAGCACTAAATTTGAGTAAGTTTGAATTATGCTCTCAACATTGCAGAGTTTATAGTGATAGATAAGTATAGTGCAGTTAATAGAGTACCATTTTACAACATGGTAGGTAAAACAAGTATTAATAGCCAGTCTTTTTTTTTTTTTTTTTTTTGTCTCCCAGTATCTTGCAGGGGGGCAATTTATACAGGCATTTAAAAGGTCTTATTGAGTACTTAGATTTTTATATTTTCCATTGTATACTTATTTTCATTAATCTCTTATTTATTGAAGCATCTCATAGAAGCACACGGTTTCTACTCTTATATGTGTAAACTACTTTTTAATCTATATCCACATCACAGATCTCCTTGTCTTCTCCAGATCTATGGAGTTAATGGGCATGTAAACTTGAATGTACCAGGACTCTTCATCATGTTCAGAACTGAATGCACTAGTTTCTTCTCTTAGACTTCATGAACATATAAGAGTCTACCTTCCCTAGAACTCACCCTTTTATTTTTGTCTCAGCTACTGAGATAAATAGCTAAGGGTCACTTAATCATGTTTTCACTTTTTATTTAATAGATAAAAATTCCAGTTTATTTTATCTCTTAATATATCTTGCATCTGTTTGCTTCTCTATCTCTATTGTTGCTGCTTTACTTCCAACTCTAGTAATCTATATACAGAAGAATAACATAGAGGCTTATGGAGTTCTCCTTGCCTATTTTCAATTGCATTTCATGTAATAATAATCTGATCTTTCTAAAATTAAAATCTGGTTACTTCTTTCATTCTTCATTTTTTTACTTGTTGTGTCATATTGACTGATGATTAAATGTCTATGCTTTTTTAATTTCTATAAGTCTAGCCTTCACCTCCAAATACCCAATGCATGAAGAAACTGTTTACCTGTCCCTCAATAAGTCATATGGTGTTGTCATGGATTTAGACATATTGTACATAGTACATGAAATGCCTTGTCTTTTCCCTAATCTACTTCGTGATTTCTTTTTTATCCTCTTACCCCAACTAACATAGGAATATTTAATTATTCTCTAGGCATTATATAAGCTACTCATTGTCATAATAATGCTGTGTAACAAATACAAAACCTCAATGACAACAATAATTAATTAAGGCATCTAGACGGCTCTGCTAATCTTGGCTGGATTTGTTCCTGTCTCTGAATGTCAGATGGTAGTTACGGAATGTGAGCTGGTATCACCTGGAAAGACTAATAAGATTCATCTGTTATTTCTTACCACATCATCTAACAGTAGGCTAGCCTGAATATGTCTTCATAACAGTAGTAGAAGTGCAAATGAAGACAAGTGAAAATATCCACAACTTCTTAAAACCTAGGTTCAGAAATGACATACTGTCCCCTCTACTTCATCCAATTGATGAAACAAGTCACATGAGTTGAGGAAATGTACTGCACCTTCATGGAGAAAACTGCTAAGTCATGTGGATTCAGAGAAAGGTAAAGAATGAAGCCTTTAATGAAATTATCATACATCTATCAAAGCATTTTTCATATTTTATTAAAATTATTTTTTACGTGTTTTCTTACAAAGTATGTTCTGTGAACAAAAAGAGCATGTTTTATTCAGTTCTCTGATCCAGGTACATACACCTAATGGTTCTTAATAGGTATTTATTAAATAATCATTTATCATAATGTAATTAAAATCTAATATATGTATCTATGATATATAATATCTTATACATTTAATTAAAACATATATATGCACATATAACTTTTTGAAAAATTTGTGAATATTTTCATAGTTTTTAAATATAATTTTTCAAAATACTAAAAATTGTTAATATGTGATGAGTGATAGCATTTGTTTTTTATAGAGCAATCCTAAATATAAACATTAAATATACAGTACAATAGCAACTAAGTAACTTATGTGGTCAAAATTCATATGGCCGAAAGAGATAGTTAATAATTTTATTTTTGATAAGAATTTACAATTATACATTTGTACTGTATAAAAGCAATATTATGGAAAAACATAATTTGCTCAAATATTTTCATTGCATTTGTATTAGATGTAATACTTTTACAAAATTAAATAGTTTACACATGACACTGTATTTTTATTGGTCATTAATTAGTTCAAGTATTAAAAGTGTAGGTTAATATTAACATCCCCATTTTACAGAAGTAAAATTTTCTTCTTGATAATTAGTGTAAGTAGAACATATACAATTCTTACCATGTTTTTTCTCTCTGTGATGAAAAACAAAAATAATGAATGGTTAGGTGTATTATAAAACCCTCTCTCGGTGTTGTTGTATACTGATTGATATAGCCATTTTGATAATATGAATAAGATACATACATTTTAGTATTTCTTTACAATTTGGAGGTCACTTCACTTAGAAAAAATAAGACACTGCTGAAACAATTTATTTATGTTGCATGTGGTTTGAATTATTATGAGCACACATTATGAAAGAATATTAGAATCCCTAAAACCACTTTTGTCCTGATTCCCTCTTGTCACACTAGTTACCTCATTCCAGGGACGTTCAGTAGATGAGTGTTTTTGTTTTCTCTCTAGAGTTAGATAAATTAAAATACTTCAGAAGTTTGTTTATAATTCCAAGCAAAGTCAGATATTGCATGGCAATGAGTTCAGCGGAATTGTTTAATATATTCTTTGATATATTTAGATCAGTTAATAGAAGCTGCCTTAACTATTGTTTCAAAGCCAGACTTGGGAATAGTGTGAGGAATTGGAAACTCTCTATTCTATTAGAGAGAATATGAATTGTTACAAACTTTTAGAAAGCTAAAATGATAGTATCTATCTCAACTGAAAATGGGAGTAGTTTTTTAACACCTTTCAAACATCTCTCCTATAAAAATAAAATAAATAATTGTGTGGGGGGGTTTGAAGTGCCCCAAACTGAAATCATTTGGAATGTTTTTTAAAAAGGAAAAATATTTGAATAAATTTTGTTAAAGCCCTATGAATGAAAGAAGAGTATGTGCAATAATCTAACACAATGTCCATGAAATATGCAGTAATTTCTTAAAGCAAATTGCAGAGCAAAAAGAAAAGTATTAAAGTTTAATTTTTGTTAAAACATTTTGAATGTAAATTTCTGTTTATATAAGTTTTGTAAATATAGTGATATGTGTGGATAGATCTCATCCATCTCTTATCATTGGTTACTCCAGGGAGGGGGTATCATGTAGCAAGACCAAGAGGTGGCCATTATATTTTACTTTCTTTTTTTTTTCTTATATCAAATAACTTATTTCAATGGCTTCAAATAACTTTTTATCTTTAACCAAATAACTTTTATCTTTTTAGCTAAAATCATAATAACAAAGGAATATTGAAAATAAAAGAAAGAAAATTTTTATCAGAATATTTTTTGTTAGAAGATTTCATATAATGAATGGCTAGAAAGTTAAAGCTATAGAAAATTATGATGCAGTTTTTTTTGGTTTTGTTTTTGTTTTTTTTGAGATGGAGTCTCGCTCTGTCACCCAGGCTGGAATGCAATGGTGCGATCTCAGCTCACTACAACCTCTGCTCCTGGGTTCAAGTGATTCTCCTACCTCAGCCTCCCGACTAGCTGGAATTACAGGTGCCTGCCACCATGCCCGGCTAACTTTTGTGTTTTTAGTAGAGACAGGGTTTCATCATATTGGCCAGGCTGGTCATGAACTCCTGACCTCAGATGATCCACCTGCCTTGGCCTCCCAAGTGTTAAGATTACAGGCATGAGCCACCGCGCCTGGCCAATGCAGAATATTAAACAATAGTTTCTGATTTGTTAGACTGACTCTTGGTTGAAAATGACAATTTACAGGAGCTTACTCATGTATTTCCTCATCTCCCCATTGCTTTACTTTATTGTCCTTTCTGTTCTATGTTATAACATTAAACCATTATTTCCAACATCAGTATTTGGGACTTTGTCCTTTAAATTATAGCACTTCTCAGAAGTAAATTGTATACTAAAATTTTATTAGCACATTATTTGTTTTGAACAATTGTGTATTTTTCAAAGTTTGGATTAGGGCTTAAGCTTGGCTCATGTTTATCCATGTAGTCCAGGTACCCTAAATACTTTAGTACTATCTTTGAGACAGAAATACCGCAGATTACTGATTTCAAGTCCTGGTTCTTGAAATTTTCTATTTTGAGCCCTGAATTTCTCTAACCTTCTAGCCCCTTTCAATTCGAAACTCATCTGATCTCTATGCCCCTGCTGCAGCTTTTGCCAACTCTACTGTCAGTGTCTAACATTGGAACTGAGAGATTCCTTAAGGTACATAATATAAAAAGGCAAAACCAGGCTTGAGGCAAGATATGGAGCTAATGCAGTAATAGGAAGGGATAAACAACAAATTACTTGATACTGAATGCAGAAGCAATCGCAGAATGAGACTAGGCCAAGGCTTTGCCATGGAATGTTTACAATTTTGCGTTAAAAGCTAGGCCGGAGAAGGACCCAAATGATAAGCATTTTAAAAAATCTTTATTTCATCTGACTTAAGAATGTTAATGTTTGATTGCCTGATAATTTTCTCACCAAAAAGGTAAAATAGAATTAGCTACCGTTTTAAAAAATTTTCTGTGTGCTGAAAATTGTATACCCATTTTATACTGATTTAATGTTCAAAACAACCCTATGAAATGGGCAATATTATTATCATCCCTATTTTACCTAAGACGCCTTCAGCTAATTAAATTGACCACTCCTACACAATTAACGTGGTAGATCTGGAATTTGAACCAAGAAAATCTAGCTGGGAATCTTAGCTCTTGGGCACAATGACAGGAAACACCTTCTCTCCCCTCCTCCATAACTTATTCTTCAAACCATGATAAGCTTTAGGATTAATGACTATGTATTTTTTTACCACCCAAACCCCCATTCCCTCAGGGCAGTAGATACCAGCTAGAAGGTTAGAGGGACACAGCCTAATTGAACCTATTCATATTAAGGTAAGAAGTATTAGTCACTAAACACTCCCAAAGGTATTTTCATTTTTAAAGAGAGTGCTTATTAAAACAAATTAATCTCTCATTGGTGAAATGTTCACTTGTGTAAAACCAGCAAGTGAAGTTATTTTAGGAATATGAAAGGAAAATTTTTCGAGCAGAGGTTGCCATTCATTAAACAAATTGACCTACAACTTCCCTAAATTCCCCTTGTTCTTATATAGCAACTTTAATTTTGTATGTTCCAAACCAGATTTTTGTCCTATGGCTTTGTTTTTTACTGCCAGTCTCAATTGCAATAAGAGTGAGAATACTGGAGAATAAACAAAGTGGAGGAAATGGAGACTGTAAAGAAAGTGGAAGAAAAGATAAATAGCCATGTGGGGGGACTGCATGTACAGCATTGAGAGGACTCCGGAGAAATGATACATAAATAGAAAAATGTGAAGTTATCAATTCATTCAGATCTACTGATGTCAGTAATCATTAACTATTTTATAAGAACTGCATAAATTATTAGTATCTAGGATACATTCCTAAAATAATTAAACATACATATTCTCTTTGAAGCCCTTATCAAAAAGGTAAAATAACACATACAAAACTTTAATTTTAATTAACAACTACAGGTTTCTAAGATAAATCATATAAAATTAAGTCAATTAATATCCTGCAAGTTACTTTAATTCAGAAATATTTTAGACTTCAAGCTAGTTTCAAATGAGTACTAGTGTGTGTGTATCTCTTGCATATTTAAGGATAATCACTGAAATCTACTTTACCTACTTGTAAGTTGCACAGAATGAAAAGACTAAAATCACAGTGTTAACAGCGATTTTAGAGATGAGTCTTCTAGGTAAAAATATAGATAAATAAGTGTATGAAAATTAATATTGCTATTATCTTTACATTTTTTCCTTTGTTTCAAAAGTTCTAGGCAAGAACTTCCAAATCAATGGACAGCATGTAGCAGCATCAACTTTATTGAAATTTACCAAACATAGAAGTTATCTCTCCTCCATTAATCTGGAGGAGATTAATGGAGGAGAGATAAATATGTGTGCCTAATTCTAATGAATAATAGATCATCTTTTCATCTTTTCTGCATTTGTGTAGAAGGCCTGCACTGAGAATGTCCTTCAGAGTGTGAAATTGCCCCATGGTGTTGTTGAACAAGTCAAGAATATTTTATGAATGTAGTCATTTATCCTGACTGTTCACTTGCACTGATAGACTGTCCAGTTTAGAAAAAAATCACCATTATTTTATGAGACTGTATTTAATCAAATGTATATAAAATGTACATGCTAATCTTTTTATTTTAAGAAAAAATATAAATTTGAAAGTTTGTGTGACTGAGCACATCAAAATATAATTTTCAGAAACAGCATTTTTTTCATCCAAACCTTTTACCAGAACTTTGCTGTTATGAGATCAGTTACATTGATACATCTCTTGCATGTAAGAAACCCAAAGCCTACAAGTCACCTTTCTAAATTGTTTTTGTTTCTGTTTCTAAAATTCCAAACACTTGGATCATTGATTTAACTGTCTTCTGAAATGTGTAATTGCAAAAACATTCTGAAAATTAAAATGCTTACTTTCTTTTACCCATCCATTACTACTGAGGTGTTAAAATAATTTATTCCATTATATTAACAATTGCTTGATGCATCAAAAGATAATTTGCCATGTAATTTTGTTAAACTTGAAACTGTAGCATATTTTCTTGATAATACCATTAATATATCAAGAGTAAATAAAATGTTTAGTGGTAGGCACATTAATTATGGCCTTCATCTATCGGTGTTTAAAACTTAGAAATAATTAAATGTGCTTTAATAAGATATGGTTCTGAGAAAGCAGGATCATTTATGAATCGCTAGAGGTGCGTGGAGCTACATTTCCCTTGAGAGACGGAATTTATGCCTAACACCCCGCTGATTGTTCAGGAGGTAAAGAACCAATAGCTGCATGTACAGAGGTTTAATTTAAAGTGTGTTTCTCACTAGGCTGCTCACAACACTTAATTAAACTCTGCTGTTTTGGCAATGACAAATGCTGTAGTGCAAAAGGAACCTGAGTCGCAGTGACTGAGAAGCTTTTGTAATTTCTTTCATGTGCATTGGCAGCCAGATCCAGGTCAGAAAAGAAAGCAAGAATAAAAGAAGACATATTTAAGGTGTTTGGACAAAGTTACCACTTTCATGCATCTATTTTAGATACCCAAAAGTGCTGCATTATTTAAAGGATTTAATCATGTGGCGTTTGTGGAAACTATGGCATGTGACCAGGGAAAACAACTTGAAGTCCATTTCTAAGTCGTGGCTTTTGGAAAAATCTTCTTTTTCATTAGCAATTATAAAACCTGAAATGATGATTGATTCAAATTTAGATCAATATGTAGAGCTGTTATGTCTAAGCAATATTTCCTGCTATATTTTATATATACTTTATACTGTATGTTTAAGTTCATTTCTGGGTATCAAAATTAAGAAAGTCTATTATATGGATCAAAGAAAAAAAGCCAAATTTTTGTATTAAACAATCACAGAGTGAAGCATAGACAATCAACTTTTACAATTCTACCTGTTGAAATGCTTTTAGTTTGAAAAGTATCCTAAAACTCCTTTTATATACAACTATCATCTTTTCTATGCAGGCACATTAATATAGGGTAATGCTTTTAAGAAGACATAGACTTATAGCTCCTTTTTTATATTGTTCTTATCCCAAAATGAGACCAAAGGTAAAATGAATAAAATATTGAACAAGATAAAAATAGCTAATATTTATTGAACACTTACTATGTGTCAGAAGCCATTTAAGCATTTTTACATGTGCAAATTCAGTCCCCATGACAATTTATGCATTTTATCATTATCCCCTACAGATCAGACAACTGAGGTGTAGATAAAATTTAAAAACATACTAGATCACACGTCTAGTTCATGAGAGATCAAGGATTCAACCCCAGGGAGTCTGCGGAATCCACATCCCTAAACAGTACAACATACTGGCAAATTAAAGCGTTTCAATCTATGAGCAGAGAAATCAAATCAAATCAAGGTGAAAATGACATACACAGTAGGTTTTTTTCTTTCTTTCTTCTCTTCTTCTTCTTCTTCTTCTTATTCTTATTATTATTATTATCATTTTTGAGACAGAGTCTCATTCTGTCACCCAGGCTGGAGTGCAGTGGCATGATTTTGGCTCACTGCAACCTCTGCCTCCTGGGTTCAAGTGATTCTCCTGCCTCAGCCTCCCAAGTAGCTGAGATTACAGGTGCGCACCACCACGCCTGGCTAATTTTTGTATTTTTAGTAGAGACTGAGTTTCTCCATGTTGGTCAAGAGGTCCTGAACCCCTCACCTCAGGTGATCAGCCCGCCTTGGCCTCCAAAGTGCTAGGATTTCAGGCATGAGCCACCGCGGCCAGCCTTTTTGCTTATTATCAAAGAACTGTACTCTCCCTTGGAGAATCACATTGTTATAATAAATTTAGAAATCCTTCAACTTCAACTCCTATCTAGGTACAGAAAGTGAGGTACAGAGAGGCTAAAGAAATGTACAATATTGCAGAGCTAATAAATTGTAGAGGTAAAAATAAACTAAGCTTCTTACTGCCAGTCTTTTTGCTTTTTAGCATACCAAGATCTTCACTCTTGATAATTTGGCACACCTTATGTCAGAAGCAAATCCATGTACTGGTTATTACAAATAATTAAAAATGAGATTTATTTAGTCTATCATATTCTTTATTAATGAAAATATAATCATATTATTAAAACCGTGATATCAAGTTTTTATTAATTGAATTTTGTGGATAAAATTTACATCAGCATGGTGTTCAAAAGTGGTTCAAAGTGTTTGACTGAACTCATTGTTTTGTTTTCCAACTGGTATCATAAGTTTAGATAGACTCATCTTAGGTCATAGGATTATAGAAAAAATTTCAAAGCATGAAGAATATAACCTTCATTCCCTGATGTATGAGTATTCATTCTTTACATGAAAACATCTAGGGTGGAAAATCTCAACTTTGCAAGACAGCCTTTTCATCTTTGAACAACTCCAATAAGAAACAACTTTCTGACTTATTTCAGATATTGGAATCTGCCATGTTGGTTAGACAGTGATAAGGGTTTAATGTTGGATAGTATAATAAAATTTGCTATAAGAAAACAAATAACATAAAAATTTTAAGGAAAATGGGTAATATAATCAGCCTAGCTCATATCAGCTTTAGATTTGTGTTAGTTCTAGGATATGGCATATTTAAAACTTTATAACAGCAGTTTCTCTAACTAAATCATGTCAAGTATTAGGCTATTCATTTACATGAATATTTGTACATTGAAAAAATTGCTGAATTTTAAAATAATGAACAACTTTATATCTTTGGTTATTAACAATTCAGGGACAAGTATCACACTCACAAGGGAATAAGTCATAATTCTCTTTCATTTTGGAATATATTGTATATTCAACCTGACAGCTTTTTAAGACACAATACACCAAAGAGTACCACATTTGAAAGGCTGTGAAATAATATCTCCAGGATGAAAGTAACATATAAAGCTTTCAACTGAAATACAGTTTTAATCCCATTCATTGGCAGTGGAGGCGGATAAAAGGGGTACAACGATACTGCTTCTGTTTTTTCACTTCTTCACATTCAGGCGATCTCACATTCAGCAGAATTTACCCCTTCATTCATAATATCCCAGTGGAGCATTTTGATCAAGTAATTTCAATTTTCATAACAGACTTTTCAAAACTTTGTACTGTATCTAGGTGACTTTCAATATTTGAAAATCACTTATACTTGCGTTGGAAATTTATTTTCTACATTCCATTTATTACTCAGGTAAGTAAATATATTTTATTGTGACTTAAATGCCATCTTTTCACAGATGTATTATTTGACTATCTTATCAAAGTTATGCTTTTTAACTTCATCATTAAATCTAGTTTTCTTCATAGAACTTACAAATTTGATATATTTATTTTTCACATATATTTATGTGTATATTTATATTTCTATCTCTTCTTCTAAATTGTAAAGCTAGAGCTGTGACCACATCTACCTTGCTCTCCATTAAATCCTCAACATTGACGAAGTAATTATTAAATTATTATTCAAATTGATTAGTAAATTTTTACAAAAAATAATAAATGAAAAAATATAAAAACATGGTCAAACCACCTATATGTTCACTATAGTTTCTTTTTATAGATTCTTTTTTTTTCAGACCTGTCAGCAGGATGTATATATATTCTTTATTTCTTATTTTCTGCCACTTTGGAAGGGCCTTTAGCTAGCTCTTGGGAGATTTGTCCTGCTTAGCCCAAAGTTATACTCTTCTGCTCAGCGAAGAGAAAATTATTAGAAGACATTCACATCCTAAAACATGAGATTACAAACTACAGGTTTTCTGAGGTTTGATAGGTATTTATCCACAACAAAGAGCACATAGTCAAGGAAAGGTAGAATTTTGTAGATGAGAGCAGCTGATCTGACAGAATATCAATGTTCTTTTGTTCATTTTGCTTTCTAACAAGCCGTGTGATACCAGACATATTTTAGCCTCTCTGAGATCTGTATTACTATATGTAATACATGGGGATAATAAAATTTAACAGAATTTTGGTGAATTATCAGTGGAGTAATATATTTGAAAGAGCTATGACAAGCTAAATAATCATACAAGTTCAAGTTACAATAATAATAATGACCAGCATATTAAAAGAATATGATATTCAATAATTGTTTTATACAACAAACAATTCTTTTTTTGATTTCTGTTTTAGTTTTTCCTATCCGCAGTTACAGTAATTTCAGTTTGCTCAAATGTTACGAGCAATTGTTTTATCTCCTCTGCAGAGTATTTGAGCAAATACAGGAAAACACTGTTGTAAGGTGTAGTGATTGTTACAGTTTATTATTCCTAGCATCAGTTAAATAGACCTTTTCTCTTCAGTCTTCCCACATTTTCACTATCTTAGATCTTCCAAAAGCTGACTGGCTTCTAAGAAATCAAAGCGGTTCCCTCTCCTGTATTTTCACCATGTCCTTGACAATGCTTTAAATGAACTTAAGCTGTAATGGGGCTTAGTAAATTTCACCTCTCTGGATACTCAACTCTCTTTGCTCACATCCCATCACCTAACATGTAGTGGATACAGAATGTACTTGAGTGGTTAAGGCTGAACTTCACGTCCTCAACATTTAGAGAAGCAATTCACAGCAGATAGTGAGCAATTCAGCCAGGGCCTATTTACCCTAGTCATTTATTTTAAAAACCCTAACACTAAAACCAGACCATTTTAAATGGTAGATAAAAGGCAATGAAATTGATGAATGCCTTTTGGCAAGTACAGTTGAGTTTCCATGGGGTTTTATACATTATTGACACTGTCAGTGATTTCGGTGATTGTGGCTACAGCTGGGATGTTATTATTACCATGTTGCAGTACTTCTGTTGGGAGGCTATTCCGTGGTCACAGCTGGAAGTGTTAGTGGCATTTGATGTTCGTGACCTGCAGTAATTGTACCATTTTATAAGAGGAGTTCACGAAATCCATAGTCAAGAATTAAGCTGTGCCCAACCAAGTGACTTACGCTAGTAGGCAAGAGAATGAACAGGAGTGGCCTCAGTCAGAATTCAATAGTTGCCACGAGAGACTGAGCAGGTCGTTGTGAGCGTAATGCTACTGTACAATGGCCCCAATCTACACAGAAGTCTGAGGTTGCTGTGTTGGCACTGATATGTTTCCTTCCCGGCTGTCTTTGGGGTGGGAATTTTGCACGCCTTTAAGGCCAAGTGAATTCTACTCCATAAATGTATTATGTGATGAATAACCCTTTTACTTTCTCTGAATTTTTTTTCAGATTATAAAAGTAATACATGTTCATTATGGATAATTTGAACAATACGACAAAGAATAAAGAATAAATTTGAAATCACATTTAATCTTACTGCTCAGAGGTTACCAATTTTAATATTTCTTTGGACATCTTTCCAAATATATATGCATGCACAGTTTTTACAAAATTGAATTAATGCTGTGCATACAGTTTTTTTTAACAAAATAAATCTGTCTTTCTACACTTAGGATTAGGACTTAATTAATGGGCTGATTCATAATATAAACAGGAGCCAATGAAATTATTTCAAGCTTCTGAGATAAAGAATAAGTTGATTTATCACAGAAACATAAATTGGACTTGTAACAAAACAGTCCTAAAATATGCATCTTTTTTTGTGTAGCTGAGTCAACTTTATGATGACAAAGATCAAACCTAGGTAAATCAAACAGTGGTTAATCCTACATAGTACAATAGGCATTGAGAGACCACTCTAATATCCTATGCCCCAATTACTTTCCCTGTTAACAATTTCTGATTATCTAAATTAAATCCTGAGAGATCAACCTTTTGAAACACAGCAATTGTGTATGCAGAAATCCTCCATTAAAAAGCAATCGTGTTGGTGTTGGTGGAGCAGGGAAAGTCTATTGTCACTTACTGACATGGGCTAGTTGCCAATGTCTTCTAAGGCTTTAGAAAGAAGAGAGAAGAAAGCTGAGGAAAAGGCAGGCAGTTTGTGCCAGGGAAATGAGGAAAAAGATTCGTGTATAAACCTAATTTACAAGTGCACATGGATAGACTACCAAAGTCATAGAATAGTCAAGATTACCACTTGAGAGCCAGACTACATGTCTACCTGTATGTATTACTAGCACAATGAACTTAATATGGCTCAGAATAAATATTATGTCCTCAATTCAGTAGGTACCCATAATGACTTCCTTGTTTCAGAATAATAGTTCTCTTCTCCCAGTAACTTAAACATTACAGTTGAACCTTCGCTCTCACACCTACCATTTAAAAATATATTGTTATGACTTCTTAATTTTACCTAATAATATCCATTCTTACCAAATACTGGAACTTTTTAAACCACTTATTACCTTTCACTTGATCTATGACATTAACCCTCTAGTTAGTTTTCTCTCTCCACTATTTCCTTTATGAAGTATTTCTATACACAATAACCCATTAACAGTTCCCATTGTTTAATCAAGCCCATGCTGACTAAAGCTGTCAATAGCTCTCCATTGTTAATAATAATAAAAGCAAACAACTTGACTTAATGACTTAATGGATAAGATATTCCAAATCTCTCTTCTCTGCCATATTCTCTCTACTTCTTTTTGGTATCTTATACTTCAGCACACTTGGTCTTCTGCTTCTTATAAACATATTTGGTACTTACTTCTGTCACTTTGCACACATTGATTCTGTTTTCGTTTATCTCCTTTTACCATTACTGTTCATTAAAATTATTTCCATCAGCATTTTCTGAAGACAGAACTGTATCCTCCTCAGAACTGCATCCCCAGAGTTTAGAGAGTGATTTCTCAGAGTAGGTGATCAGTAAATGCTGGTGGAGTAAATTTATGTAGAAATGAATCCATATCCTTGAAAAATAAACATTTTAAGGCAAGATGGTTGTACTTAAAATAAACATATCCTTAAAAATAAACATTTTAAGGCAAGATGTACTGATGTACATATGATGGTTTATTTTATATGCAAACTTGACTGGGCCATTGGGTGCCCAGATATTTGGTCAAACATTATTCTGTCTTTGAGGGTGCTTCTTGATGAGATTAACACTTGAATTAGTAGACTGAGTAAAGCAATGTGCCTTCCTTAATGTGGGCAGCCTTTATCTAATCAGTTGAAGGTTCACATAGAATTAAAAAACTGACCCTTCCACTAGTAAGAGGAAACTCCTCCTGCCTGAGTGCATGAGCTGGGATATCTGTCTTTTCTTGCCTTTAGACTTGAAGTAAAAGATTGGCTCTTCTTGGGTCTGCTGGCTTTCAGACTGGCTCTTATACCATTGGCTTTCCAGGCTTTCAGGCCTTCAGACTTGGTCTAGAACTACATCTGCCCTCCTGGGTCTCCAGCTTACCAGTTAGCAGATCTTGAGACTTTTGAGTCTCCAAAATTGTGTGATAGTTTCTTGTAATAAATCGTTTTACATATCTATCATGTGTCTCCTGTTGATTCTGTTTCTCTGGAGAACCCTGACTAATACATGAGATTTGCCTGAGAGAAGAGTACTAAACAAAGACCTAAAAACAGAAATACATATGATTTCTTTGAGGGAAATGAGTAAGAAAGGAGATGCAAGGAGACATTTCCTCACTGAAATTTTTCCTATAAAACAATTGCATGGATTTTCACAGTTGTTCTCTCACACTACTCTACCTTTCCTGGCCCTGATTCAGATTCACTAATGTGTCATATGAGTCTGGAGGAACAGAGGTTCCATTGCAGCACATGCAGATTGAAATGGCAAATCAGACATTTTTTTTTTCTTTTGAGATGGAGTAGATGGAGTCTCGCTCTGTTGCCCAGGCTGGAGTGCGGTGGCGCCATCTCGGCTCACTGCAAGCTCCGCCTGCAGGGTTCACACCATTCTCCTGCCCCAGCCTTCTGAGTAGCTGGGACTACAGGCACCTGCCACAACGCCTGGCTAATTTTTTTTATTTTTATTTTTAATAGAGACGGGGTTTCACCGTGTTAGCCAGGATGGTCTCGATCTCCTGACCTCGTGATCCACCCGCGTCAGCCTCCCAAAGTGCTAGGATTACAGGCGTGAGCCACCGCGCCTGGCTGAGACATGTTTTATTGCTACTCAGGTCCACCCAACTCCTAACCTAGACCCTTTGTAATGAAGATGAGAAAAGCAATAACAGAAATTAAAGAAGAATCATTATTTAAAGTGAAATCAATTTATTTTTAGAAAACAATCTAATTTTGAGTTGAATTTGATTCTTTTATCTTGACTTGTTTTTCTATGTCAAACTAGTCAGTTATACTTGAAAATATACATTTTTATATATAGGAATATCTTACATACTATCTGCTTGGTTTTAACAAAGATGGTGCTCTTAATATATTACCACCATACAAAATAAACTTGTTTTTATTATTAGTCACATTTATAAGCTTTAATTTTATGTTTCTCCATTAGTAAATCATGAAGTATTTTACCTCAATAGTCTTTTTTATATTTTGCTGCCTCTTTTACTTTTATTGAGTTTTTAATTAGAACTAATCTATGTTCACTTTACAAAAGTTAGAATATATTGATAAACACAAAGAAAGAAAAATGCAAATAATGTATGATCCAATAACCACTGTGATATTTACATTTTTATAGTTATTATTTGTACATATGAATACTTATATGCATATATATATAATCTTTTAAAATGGAAGTGGAATTTCACCACACAAATGGCTACTTTTATTTTCCTAGTTTATACTCACACAAAAAATTTTACGTATATATACATAATTGTGTATGTGTATGTGTGTGTATATGTATGTGTGTGTATAAATATGCACACATATACATTGTACAGACACATACATATACATATGTATATAAAAGTACAGATGTAACTATACATTTATAGTTATATATCTTGGGAAAGATAGTTTTAATGACTGCATAATAATTCACAATAAATATTTCATTATGTATGGAACTAATTCCTTGTTGTAGGATAATATAGATGTATCCAGTGTTGTAATTTATATCCTTGTTTACATATTTTTCCCACATGTTCTAAACTTGTGTTGCCAGGATATAAGAGGCTATAACACTTTTGGAAATTTTAATATTCATTGCTAGATTGTCTTTTAGGAAGTCTGTATAAATTTATATAATGTGGTTACCCATTTCCCTGTGTTCTAGCCCACAATGGGAATAATATTTTTTGAAAAGAAAATCTCCTGTTTTAATAATTTGCAATTATTTGATTATTGGTATTATTAAATCAATTTTATAAGTAATTTTTTGACTGTTCATCATTCACTTATCTAATACATATTTACTGAATGCCTAATATATGTCCAGCAATGTTTTGCCTTTATATACAGAAAGAAAAAAATAGCCTGATGAATTAAAAATGCCAACAATTAAAACCAGAGAGAAGCAAGACTTAACAATTATTGTGGGTATAGCTATTGACTCGTGGAGCTGACTGGCAACAGAGGAAAAGCTGACTAAATATTTTAGTAAGTTTTATTAACAGAAGAACTTTCATTTTTACTAATTGAGACTGTGAGTTTTCAGACCTAAAACAAATCTGGTTCCCCAAGCTTCTATAGGCAGAAAACAGGAGAAAGAATTTGCTAAGTCTCCAGAAGAAAATATTAGCCAAAAGCTACCACAGATGTGACTAAGTGAAAAAAAGTAAAACCTCCAGAAGTCTGGATTGAAAAGAAATGAAAAATAATGGACTGTGAGACAAATCCCTGGAAGGGAATTAGATTAGAATATCTAACCAAGGAATATTTCCAACTCTTCAGGATGGAAGCCCATTGCAATACCTGTCCAATGGGATTTTAGAATAGGTGGGGTCCCTACATGCTTTTTACTATTCTTCCCTTTGAAGATGGGATTTTAAAAAAGTTATCCTGTGACATTCTAGTAGTACTTGTTGTGTACATGGGGTAAATAGCCTACTGTTATTTCATAGATTTCTTGATAGAGAAAAAACATATTAAGACCTGAAATCGGGACTATCAGGACACTTTGAGTCTGGTGCTGTGACGTGATGATAATTTGTAGGTGTTTTCTTTGGTTAGGAAGCAAATGTACTGTGTGCACAGAAAGAGCAATGAAATTTTGTAATAAAATGTGTGGAGCATTGTAAATTAAATTTGTTTTTCCCTAGCTAGAGCAATCAGGGAAGACTAAAAAATAAAGGACATCTAAATTGGGAAAAAAGAGGTCAAACTATCTCTTTTTGCTGATGATATGATCTTATACCTAGAAAACTCTAAAGACTCCTCCAAAAGACTTCTAGATCTAAAAATGAACTCACTAAAGTCTCAGGTTATAAAACCAATGTACACAAATCAGTAGCATTGCTATATGTCAACAATGGCCAAGTTGAGAATCAAATCAAGTACTCAACCGCTTTTATAATGGCTACAAAAATATCTAAAAATATGCTTAACCAAAGAGATGAAAGATCTCTACAAGGAAAACTACAAAACACTGCTGAAATAAATCGTGGACGACACAAAAAACTGGAAATATATCCCATACTCATGAATTAGAAGAGTCAAATAAAAATGATTGTACTGCCCAAAGCAATCTATAGATTCAATGCAATTCCTATCAAAATACCAACATAAGTATTCACAAAATTATTTAAAAAACTATTGTAAAATTCATATAGAACCAAAAAAGATCCCAGATAGCCAAAGCAACCCTAAGCAAAAAGAAAAAAAAATTAGAGGCATTACATTACCTCACTTAAAATTATACTACAAAGCTATGGTAACCAAAAAAGCATGGTACTGGTATAAAAGTAAATGCATGGAACAATGGAACAGTAGAGAACCCAGAAATAAAATCAAGTACTTAAAACCAACATATCTTTGACAAAGCATACAAAACATAAGTTGGAGAAATTCAATAAATGGTGCTAGAAAAATTGGATAGCCACAGGTAGAAGAATAAAATTGGATCCCTATCTCTTACTATATACAAAAATTAACTCAACATGGATTAAAGACTTAAATTTTAGACCTGAAGCCACAAAAAATTCTAGAAGAAAACCTAAGAAATACTCTTCTGGATGTTGGCTGCGGGAAAAAATTTATGGCTAAGACCCCAAAAGCTAATTCAACAAAAAGAAAAATGAATAAATGGAAACTATATAAACTAAAAAGCCTCTGCACAGCAAATAATCATCACAGTAAATAGACAACCTACAGAATGGGAGAATATATTTGCAAATTATGCATGTGACAAAAAACTAATATCCAGAATCTACAAGAAACTCAAATCAGCTAGAAAAAAACAAATGATCTCATCAAAAAGGGGGCAAAGGACATAACTAGGCATTTCTAAAAATAAGATATACAAGTGGACAAGAAACATATGAAAATATGCTCAATACCACTAATCATCAGGGAAATGCAAATTAAAACCACAATGAGATGCTACCTTACACCACTCAGAATGGCCATAATTAAAAAGTAAAAAAAAATAAAAGAAAACAAAAACAACACATAATAGATGTTGGTATGAATGTGATTTTTAAAAAGGAACAGTTATACACTGCTGCTGGGAATGTAAATTAGTACAAACTCTATGGAAAACAGTACGGAGATTTCTCAAAGAACCAGAAGTATTAGATCTACCATTCAATCTAGCAATCTCACTACTGTGTTTCTACCCAAAGAAAAAGAAGTCACTTTATCAAAAAGACACCTGCACATTTAAGTTTATCACAGCACAGTTCACAATTGCAAAGATATAGGATTAACCTAAGTGCTCATCAACTGATGAGTAAAGAAAATGTGATATATATATATATATATATATACACACACACACACTACATATATCTAAACATATATATAATATAATTAATATTCCATGGAATACTACTCAGCCATAAAAAAGAATAAAATAATGTCTTTTGCAGCAACTTGGACGGAACTGCAGACCATTTTTCTAAGTGAAGTCACTCAGGAATTGAAAACCAAATACCTTATATTCTCACTTTTAAGTGGGAGCTAAGCTATGGATACACAAAGACATATAGAGTGGTATAATGGCTGGGCACAGTGGCTCACTCTCATAATCCCAGCAGTTTGGGAGACCGAGGCAGGTGGATCACCTGAGGTCAGGATTTCGAGACCAACCTGGCCAACATGGCAAAAATCCATCTCTACTAAAAAAAAAAAAAAAAGCCAAAATTAGCTACAAAAATTAGCTGGGCATGGTGGCACACACGTGTAATCCCAGCTGCTTGGGAGGCTGAGGCAGGAGAATTGCTTCAGCTTGGGAGGTGGAGGTTGCAGTGAGCAGAGATGGTGCCATTGCACCCCAGCCTGGGCAACAGAATGAGACTCTGTCTCAAAAAAAAAAAATAAGTGGCATAATGTACACTGAAGACTCCTAGTGGAGTAAGATAAGAGGAAGATGAGGGATGAAAAACTCTCTGTTGGGTGCAATGTACACTACTTGGGTGATGAGTGCACTAATTTCCTACATTTCACCACTACACAATTCATTCATGTAACCAAAAACCACTTCTACCCCTAAAGCTACTGAAATTTTAAAAAAATAAATAAATAAGTTTCTCCAGTTATAACCTTACAAGAAAAGTATAGACCCTTGCCTCATAATACGGACTTATTTGTATGAGATGGGTGCACCTCCTGGTTCTGTTATCATCAGATTCGGTCATGGGACTCACTTTTACTGATAGAGGAGGTGTGAAAATCACAGCATTCCAGTTCATTGTACATTATTTAAGAACCTTCTTTTAGTTTCAATAGTTCGTGTGCTCATTTTTTTTTCTTCTGTGAGAATAATATGTCCCAGATTGAGCTTTTCTCTCATAATAAAGAAGGCAGGTAGATGAGAGAAGCAGTAAGAGCATGCCCAAGCCAACCACCAATTCTTATAAAACGTAAGCCAGAAACATAACATTGCGATTGAAAGACATTGACATTTGGAAGATTTTTCCACAGCAACACTGGCTAATACAGTGATCATTTCAACCTGATTCCAGATTTTAAAGATAATTTCTCTAGTGATCTTCAAAGTGTGGTCCCAGACTACTCTGTAATTATATGTGACTAATAAACTTCTGGGATTTCGTAGTCCTTATCTGTCCAATGTCAGGTGTCAGATGTTCAGCTATCATGACCTTGAAGTAGAAATCCTTTTCTCACCAATGGGGTGAATAGACGCAATAAAAGAAACAAAGTATCTAGATCTTAAATTTGAGGTGCGACTGACTCCATTGTGCTTCCTCTGGTATGTGTGAAAATGTTAATAGAGATGAGGGCAAGCAGCGTAAAAATCAACATGACTATTATCTGAACACTTTTTAAGTAAAATTGTCATCTGGTAGAGAATTTTTATTCTCAAATATTGGTTCCAAAAGTGAGATATGTTAACACATCTTAAAAAGGAGCACACTTCACTGAAAAACAAAACTCTCATTTTGATGGCGTCAGCAGCCCATCTGGAGTGGCTGCTGTGAGGGTGCCAGGTACAGTGGGGAAGGCATCGCTGGGGCTGCCCTCCACAGAAACAGCAGGGGCCAGGAACAGGTGATCTCAGCGGGAACCCTGCACCCTATTGAATTGGCAGGGTGGGACCCCTGCCCTCCCAGGTGCAGCTGCAGCTGCCCAGCCACAGCTTCGGACCTGGGCATCCCTGTCCTCTCAGGGCCCCGGGAATCCTCATGTCCCCGCAGACTTGGAAGTGCCTGCTCCCACTTCCTAGCCTCTTCCTGTTCCCAGTACCAGCTTTGTGCAGAACAAAGATGTGGACATGTCTTGATAGCCAAGTCCAGGCACTGTTGTGACCTGACTGGGGGCGTGTATGCTCAGTGTGTGCACTCGGGGGACGTCCCAGCCCCCCTACTACCTCCCTTAGGCCCATCTGGAAACTGCTTCTGAGGCTGAAACTTTGGGCACTAATGAGCATGGGGAGGGGAGGCCTGGGGCTGATGGTGGCTTGGTGTAGGCTTGCGGGTGCCCCTTGGTACTGATAGCCTGGGCTCTGTGGAGGGCATGTTAATGGAGGAGGGAGACAGACAGGTTCCTGGTTGGGAAGGACTGGGTCCCTGGGGAAACCCACCTTCAAGGCAGGCATGGCTTTAAGTCTAAGGGTCAGGTTGCCAGTTCCTGGTGAAGTCCATGACCCTGAGTGAGAAAATTCCTTGATGCCATTCAACCAACCAAGTGGTGCTTTTTCCAGACCCACGCATGGACCAATCAACAATCACTTCCTTCTGTCCATGGACCAATCAGCATGTACTTCCTCCATTATGAGCCTATAAAAGCACCAGACAGCCAGACTCAGACACTGGTAAGGACGACCTGCCTGCAGAAAGGAGCTAACCACTTTAGGTCTCCCTTCTGCTGAGGGCTGCTCCAGTTCTCAATAAAGCTCCTCTCCACCTTGCTCACCCTCCAGTTATCAGCAAAACCTCATTCTTTTTGGATGGGGGACAAGAACTCAGGACCTGCCAAATGGCAGGAGCAAAAGGAGCTGTAACATTTCCCTGACCACGTCGCCGACTTGTGGGCAGGAGCTAAAGGGGCTGTAACACTATAGTCCTCCTGCCTTCTGCTGGTGCCCGGCAGCCACCCCATCCAACGGGAAGCGTCAGTGACGGGAAGCATCAGTGGGACCGGGCTGACCCAGGAGTCATGGGCCCAGCGCAAAGTGGTGGGACTGAAACAGCTATAACACAAATGTGCTGAAACATATCCCACTAAAACGTGCTTCCCTGTTCACCACACTGTGAATAATGAGGAGAGTAGAACTGCAGCCCTTCTGGCTGTATAGACCTCGGGGCTCCTTGAGCCAGGACTGCGACAGGCTGTAACACCCTCTTTGGGGCTCTGTGGCTCCAGGCATCTCTGAGTTTTCAGGCGCTACTGCGTTTTCCCTTATTCAGACACTGGTGCACACAGCAGAAGCCACTTTCCATATGTCTGGTCCAGCCTCAGCCTCACAAGGGGCCAGTGCCCATGCTGGTGCTTGGAGTTGCCTGCCCCACCCCACAGCAGCCAGTGTGCCTGGCTATGCGCAGTGGCCGGACCCCACACTTGCTTGTTTACACATCCCTCACCACTCAACACCTGGCTTGCCCTTGGCAGGCATGGGATCCAGGCTGGTAGCTCAAGCCAAGAGCAGCCTACTGGGCCAAATGAGTGGAATGGGCCTAGTGGGTGTGAGCAAAACTCAAGCAGAGACCCGCTGGCCACAGAGGTTTCCAGCTGGTTAAGCGACACCCAAAGGATCCTGTGACATTTTAGACCTTGCTGTTGCCTAGAGTTTATAAAGAATGTATTAGGAAAGTAGTATGTTGACTCCAATAATACGAAAAGAAACTAAACATTAAAATTTTGCATTGATTTATTCCAAGTGGAGGTAATTTGTACTAGGCACTGAAAGAAGAAAACAATATAGTTGAACTGTGTAATGTTATCAAATAAGTTTTCATTATTTAATATGAAGGAAGCCACAGATAGGAAACTCCCAAAAGTAAGTCCTAAAATTCTAGAGGTTACTCAGAAGTGCTCATTTTATAAAGTATTTATTGTCAGGGAGGTTGAACAATCCACAGCATCACGGTTTTCCATAATCTGATTTTAAACTTTCTAAAATTCCAAGTGTCACTCTGTGGCTCAAAGTCAGTATTTTAATACACAAAGGTAAAGAAAATGAATACACGTACATGGTAACTATAAAACAGAATAGAGAACTGGCCAAAACCAAATCAAAGTACATGTATTTTTTTCTATCAATTATCATAAATAGTACACAATTTATACCGAATTATATGGAAAGTGACAACAATTTTAACTCACATTAATGATAAGTAAACATCTGTGGAATTTAATTTATCTGGTCTACTATTTTTTTCTTATAATTAAGGTATAATGTACATACCACAAAATTCACCTTTTAAATTATATAATTGAGTGACTTTCAATATATTCTCAAATGTATAACCATTGCACTAATTCCAGAGCATTTCTATCAGCACAAAATAAACTTTATATCTATTAGCATGAAGGACCAAATCCTTTCTGCCTGCATCCCTTGTCAATTACCAATCTACTTTCTGTCTCTATAGATTTGTCTATTCTGGACATTTTAGAGCAGTGGAATCATACTATATGTGGCCTTTGTGACTGGATTCTTTAACTTTGCATGTCTGTTTATTATTATTATTATTATTTTTTGAGACAGAGCCTCGCTCTTGTTGCCCAGGCTGGAGTGCAATGGCACAATCTCAGCTCACCACATCCTCTGCCTCCCGGGTTCAAGTGATTCTCCTGCCTCACCCTCCCGAGTAGCTGGGATTACAGGCATGCACCACCATACCCAGCCAATTTTGTATTTTTAGTAGAGAACGGGTTTCTCCATGTCGGTCAGGCTGGTCTCGAACTCCCAACCTCAGGTGATCCACCCACCTTGGCCTCCCAAAGTGCTGGCATTACAGGCATGAGCCACTGCGCCTAGACTCACTTTGCATGTTTTAAGATTTATGTAAGTTGTAGCATGTTACAGTCATTCTTTTTACCCTGCATAATATTCTGTGGTATTAATAGACTATATTTTGTTATTCATTAATTAATGGATGAACATTTGGCATATTTGTACTTCTCAGCTATTATAAATCACACTGCTTTGAACATTCATGTACAAGGATTTGTGTGTATATATATTTTTAAATCCCTTGGGTATACACCTAGAAGTTGAATTACTGAGTCACATGGTAACTCTGCTTAATTTCTTAAGAAACTGCCAAAATGTTTTCTAAAGTGGCTACACCATCTTCCATTCCTAACAGTAATTTATAAGGGGTACAATTCCTCTGTATCATGGCTACACTTATTATTGTCCACATTTTTAAATTTAAGCTAGCATGGTGAGTGTGAAGTAAAATTTCACTGTGGTTTTAAATTTAATCTCCACAATAACTAGTAATGCTGAGCATCTTTTCATGTGCTATTGTTCATATGAATATCTTCCTTAGAGAAATGTCTATTCATACCGTTTGCCCATTTTTTATTTGGGTTATTTGTCCTTTTACCATTGAGTCATCAGAATTCTTTATATATTTTGAAGACAAATCCTGAATATATAATTTGTAAATATTTTTTCCTATTCTGTGGGCTACATTTTCATATTCCTGATGGTATCTTTTAATTCAGCAAAATTTTAAATTTGATAAGCTCCAATTTGTCTATTTTTGTTGTTGTGTTTTTAGAGTCATACCTAAGAAACCAGAGCCTAATTCAAAGTCACTAAGATTTATGCTTAATTTTTCTTCTAAGAACTTTATAGCTTTTACATTAGGTCTTTGATAAATTTTGAGTTAATTTATGTATATGATGTGAGATATTTTTCTAACTTCATTCATTCTTATGTGGGTATCAAGTTGACTCAGCATCATTGTGGAAAAAGATTATTTTTTCTCCATTAGATTGTCTTGTCATTTTTGTTGAAAATAAATTCATCAAAATAATGGGTTTCAATCTAGACTCAAATTCAGTTCCTTTGTTCTGTATGTTGATTCTTATGCTAGTACAACTCTGTTTTGATTCTTGCAGCTTTGTATTGAGTTTTAAAATTGAGAATTTTTAGTCTTCTTATTTTGTTCTTTTCAGAATTATTTTGGTTATTCTAGGTCATATACGTTTCCCTATTCATTTTAGGATCAACTCTGTTTCTGCATAAAAGTCAACTGGAGGCCAGGCAAAGTGGCTCACGCCTGTAATCCCAGCACTTTGGGAGGCCGAGGCGGGTGGATCACGAGGTCAGGAGACCGAGACCATCCTGGCTAACACAGTGAAACCCCATCTCTAGTAAAAAAATGCAAAAAAGTAGCCGGGCATGGTGGTGGGCACCTGTAGTCCCAGCTACTTGGGAGGCTGAGGCAGGAGAATGGTGTGAACCTGGGAGGCAGAGCTATCACTGAGCCAAG
The DNA here is from genome assembly GCF_000001405.40 of Homo sapiens. Lineage (NCBI taxonomy): Eukaryota > Metazoa > Chordata > Mammalia > Primates > Hominidae > Homo > Homo sapiens. Next base: position 155,597,123 of record NC_000002.12, on the reverse strand, counting down.
ATCATGCCACTGCACTGCAGCCTGGGCGACAGAGCAAGACTCCATCTCAAAAAAAAAAAAAAAAGAAATCAACTGGAAATCTGATCAAGATTGTATTGAATTTTCAGATCAATGTGAAGGGATATTGCCATTTTAACAATACTACATTTCCAATCCATGAACACAGAATGTATTTTCATTTATTTAGCTCTTTTTAAATTTCCTTCAATAATGTTCTGCAGTTTTCAGTGCACAAGTCTTATGCTTCTTTAGTTACCTTTATTTTTAAGAGTTTTATTCCTCTTGATGCTATTGTACATGGAATTATTTTCATAATTTTATTTTCAAATTGTTCATTTGTGGTGACAAAATTGATTTTTGTATGTTAATCTTGTGTTCCTTATTTTTGCTGGAGTAACTCTAAAATGTGTGTGTGTGTATGTGTGTGTGTATTCCTTATGAATATCTACACATAAGACAATATCCTTTACTAATAGCTTTTACTTTTCAATGAGAATGTTTTTTATTTATTTTTCTTATTTAATTGCATTGTCTAGAAACTCCAGCACAATGTTCAATGGAAATAGCTAGCACATACTACCTTGTCTGTGTCCAAATTAGGGAAACAGCTTTCAATCTTTTGCCACTAAATGTGTTAGCTATAGATTTTTTATAGATATCTGTTATTATATTGAGGGACTTTACATCTATTGCTAGTTTGTTGAGTGTTTTTGCAGTGAAAGTACACTGAATTTTTTCAGATGTGTTTTCTGCAGCTATTGAGAGATCGTGTATTTTTTCCGTTCTGTTAATATGATAAATTACATTTATTGATTTTTGTATGTTGAACCACCCTTGCATTTTTAAGATAAATCCCACTTGATCATGGTAATTATTCATTTTATTATTCTGGATGCAGTTTGCTGGTATTTTGTGAAGAAATCTATAATCATAAGGGCCAGCTATTAGACTTAAATGATTTTTATGTAATGTATTTGTCTGGCTTCAGTATCATGGTAATATTGGCCTCAAAAATGAGAAAGTGTTTCTTCTATTTTGGAGAGAGTTTCAAAAGAATTTTTGTTAGTTATTATTTAAATGTTTGTTAGAATTTACCAGTGAAACAACTGAGTCCTAGGCTTTTATTTGTGGAAAAATTTTGATGATCAGTTCCATATCTTTGTTATGTTATAGATTTATTCAGATTTTCTACTCCTTCAGTGAGGCAGTTTTTAATCTTTCAAAAAAATTTCCATTCCATTTACATTATTTAACTTTTTCTTATATATTTTTATAGCTTTTTCATCTTTTTCATGTCTCTAATCTTTTTAATGATCTTCAAGTTTTCATTCCTGGTTTTGGAAAAGAGTAATTTTTTTTTGGTTGGTCCAGGTAAACTACTTGTTTTCTACATTTTATTTATTTCTCTCCTGATCTGTATAATTCTCATCATTTTTCTTGTTTCACATTAATATACACATTTTCTAATGCCTTAAGGTGGAAAGTTAGGTTAATGATTTAAGTTCTTGTTTAGTAAGTGTTTGCACCTATAAATTTCTTTCTAAGTAATGCTGTTACGGCATCTCCTAAGTTTGGGTATGTTATATATTCTTTAATTTATATCAACATATTTCTTAATTTTCATTTGTGGTTTCCTTTTCTGCCCATTTGTTGTTTGTGTGTGTGTTGTTTAATTTCCACACATTTATGAATTTCTGTAATTTCCTTTTGTTATTTATTTCTAATTTCATTTTATTATGATCAGAAAATCATACTTTTGTGTGATTTTGGCCCTCTTAAATTTATTTAACTTGTTTTATGGCATTTTCAGTATGGTCTATCCTGCAAAATATTTTATGTGTAATTGAGAAGAAACATATGTATCCTGTTATTCTTGAGTATGGTGTTCTATAGATGTCCATTGGCTATACTTAGATTACTTTATAATTCAAGCCTTGTATTCCCTGTTATCCTTCCTAGTTGTTCTATCTACTATTGAAAATGAAGTATTAAAGACTTCAACTCTTAATGAGATATATATTTTTTTCTTTAATTCTGTTTATGTTTCATAAATTTGGGGGCTCTGTTATACCCAGAAATATGTTTATAATTGTTATATCTTCTTGATGGGTTGATATTTTATCCTTATAAAATGTCTTCATTTGTCTCTAGTAAAAATTTTTTTTTACAAAGTCTATTTTGTCTGATATTAGCATTACCACTCCTGCTATCTTTTGGCAACTAATTGTATGGTATTCTTTTCCAATCTTCTAGGTTCAAAGTATTTCTTTGAATCTAATGTGTATCCCTTTGTAGACAGCATGTAGTTGGGTAAAAATTTTTTAAACCCATCTTGCCAATCTCTGCCTTTTGATTGAAGGTGTAATTTATTTACAGGTTTATTTAATGTAATTAATGATAAGGTAAAATTTATATCTTATATTTTTCTATTATATGTCTTATGTCTTCTTAATTTCTTTATTCCAACATCATTTCCTTCTTTTGTACTAATTAGATATTTTCTAAGATACCACTGTAATTCTCTTGTAACATTTTTACCATATTATTTTGGAGTTATATTCTCAGTGTCTTTTCTGGGGTTGCAATTGACATCTTAATTTATTACAGGCTATTTCATGTCAATACTAACTTTATTTAAATTGTATATGAAATATTTGCTTCTATATAGTTCTCCCCCAAACTTGTGATTTTATTGACATACAAGTTATGCGTTTATACATTTTTATTATTGAATTTTTATAAGTACAAGTTTATAATTATTACTTTATGGAGTATTAAAAATATACTTATAATGATATTTAATATTTATCTATGTAGTTACTATTATTGGTAGTTTTTATTTCTTTATCTTGATTCAAGTTACGTCTAGTATCCTTTCATTACATCCTGAAAGACTACCTTTATTATTTCTTATCAGGCAGATCTGCTTGAGGTGAATACTCTCAGGTTTTGTTTATCTAAAAATATCTCTATTTATCCTTAACTTTTGAAGAATAGTATTCTTGTTTGATAGACTTTTCTTTCAGTACTTTAAATTTGCATACCATTGTCTTCACAGCTTCATTATTTCTACTGAGAAATCAACAGTTATTCTTATTATAGCTACCTTGCAGTCGATGAATTGCTTCTCTCTTGCTACTTCTGAGATTCCCTCTTTATCTTAGTCTTTCAACAGTTTGAGTATAGTGTGTCTAGGTGTAAACATCTTTGAATTTTCCTTCTTGATGTTTGTTGAGACTATTATATGTTTAATTTATTAGCGTTACCATTCCTGCTATCTTTTGGCAACGAATTGTGTGGTATTCTTTTCCAATCTTCTAGTTTTAAACTATTTATTTGAATCTAATGTGTATCCCTTTGTACACAGCATGTAGTGTAGCAATGGGCATAAGCCAGTCAAAATAATTTAATATTTTTCTCCAGATCTGGAAATTTTTCACTTATTTTTTCAAATGTCATTTCTGTGTTTCTGTCCCTATTCTTCTATAATTCTCATTATTTATATAACAAGCTTGATGGTATCCCACAGGTGTCTGAAGCCTAATTTATTTTTCTGTATTTATTTATTTATTATAATTACAATTATTTGCTTTCTTTTTCTCGCACTGGGTCATTTTAATTGACCTGTCTTTAAATTTGCTTTTTCTTACTTCTGCCTGATCAAATCTGCTGAAGCCTCCTCTAGTGAATTTTTCACTTTAGTTATTGTAGTATACAACATTAGAAATTTTGTATAGTTTTTTTAAAAAAACAATTGCTAGCACTATTTGTATTCTCTGTTTTGTGGGACATCATTCTCACATTTTTCTTTAAATCTTTAGATGTGGCTTTCTTTAGTTCTTTCACCTTATTAAAACAGCTAATTTTAAAAGTCTTTGTCTAGTAAATCCAACATGTGGGCTTTCTTAGTGGTATTTTCAAGTGACTACTTTTTATTTCTGGGTAAGAACACTTCTGGTGAAAACTACACATTTCCAGAGTTCTGGAAATCATATAATCTCTACTCCTCAGGTTTTGTTATTATGACTGTTGGATGAGTTACTTTCTCTGAGCTAATTCTCTAATGTCTTTATTCTTTATCATGTGTGGACGTGGGAGTCTTTACTTAGCTTACTGGTCAGCTAATAGTTAAACAGAGATTTTCTTTAATGCTTGGAACAAATACTTTTTCCAGTCTTTCCTAAGGGGCTGTGTCTGCATTTTGGATCATCTCTTTAAAACTCACGAACACAGTTGACAATTCTTACTTAGCCTTCTTTTTCTGCTTAGGCTGAATTTCAAGGTCAGTGAGAAATGGAAGCACAGATCACGTGCAAGGGCCTGAATACATGCATAACCCTACCAATATAAGTGGCCTTCTATACCCCAGAAATGTGTCAAAACTTTTGAAATATAGACCACTTGCTTAACACATTTCTGAGATTATTTTGTTTGCCTATTGTTTGCCCTAACTGTTACTCACTGCTGGCTCAGTCACGATAGTAAACAATTGCTACTGTTTGTTGTTTTCTCTAGAGAAAAGGCTATTCTCTCAAGCTCTGAGTCAGGTAAAATAAAAAACCTTCTGTATAGGATCTTCTGGAAAATTACCAAACATATCAAGGAAGGACAATTGTCTGGGTATGGGGTTTCAAGGAGATTCAATCCACTTCTGCCCCCTCCAGTGGCTGCCAGGCTTTTGGTTTTCACTGTGACTGCAGGCTGTTGGTTTTCAAAGCTACTGTAAAGATGGTGCAGCAATGGGCATAAGCCAGTCAAATGGCAAAGCTCACTGTTCTTACTGTGATTCTGCCATTTTTCTTGAATGATGCACCCTGGATTGCTGCAAGCCTTTGGTTAATTTCCAGAGTTCTGTAAAAGCTGATTTTAGCCAGTTTTCTCATTGCTTTTATGGAAAAGAGGATTTTTCAGAAGTCCTCATCCTGGCACTCCTTCTGATGCTTGAGGACTACGTTTCTAACACTGAAATTTAATATGTGTTTATAGAGATGAATTACTGAATTCATGAAGAATGGGGAACTAGAGGCAGAGAAATAAAATGAAAATTGCAGACAGAGTGGAGAAGTAGCAAAGCATAATGTGTGAAAGAATGAGCTTTTTGAGGGCACTAGTTATAGAGGAGTTGGGTAAGGTTAGAGTTTAATCAGTTTTGTAGTACTGTGTTACATAAATGCAGTTAACGATTACTTGTTCCTTTTTCTAGTGCAATATATCACATAGCAATAGCTTTAGAGTTATACTTTGTACTATGATATGTAGGATGCTGTGTTCTCCTTTCTATTAAAGAAGTGGTAGGAAAGGTTAAAAGTAATTGGAAGCTAAGTTGTATGCCTTTGTAATCTATGTAGAAAACTGAGATATGGATGACCACATATGGGTAAACTTTAAAGAAAAGTTACCTGTTTAATCATGCCTAGAAAAAATTTTGATACGAATATGTAAGTTTATGCTAAAAATATTTACATCATTGAATATTTCTGAGTAAAGTGATTGTCAGCGTATAATACCAATAAAAATACTGAGAGTTTTAATTCATTATGGCAAAGAAGATATATATCCATAGTAATATAATTCATTAAAGCACAAAATCTATGAAATAAAATAAGTTTTTAATTTTCAAAGTTGTATACAAATTAAACATTTAATGTAATGAAACTTAATAATATATTTTAAAATTATTTTGGAGGAATTATTTGAATTCCTTGAAAGAATTTTGAGTGTATATATTCTTTTTCTCTCAAAAGCATTACATTTAATGTACATTTGAAATAAAATTATATTAAATTTAGTAATTATATAAGGGCTGTGTACTTGAGAAAATATATCCTGCTGACTTCTGATATTACAGTACTCAGTATTTGCTTCCCAAGTAAACTTTTTGTGGAGACAATGTAAGAAAGTGTCTCTCATAGAGCCTGCTGGCTCTTCTAAGATTTTAGGGAGCAAATAATCCCACAAATATCCCTTCATAGGAGATATGTGACACAAACTTACTGCCTAATACAGAGGTAGCTCACCAGCATGTTTTTAGTGCCTACTACATGAGAGCACTGCACCTTTTCTATTTTCCAATATTAAAGTCATCAAGGATCTACATCATGTACTCATCTATGTATTTTCAGATCCGAACTCTCCTCTCTTCACTCATGTCCCTTCATCTCTGTCAACATTATTCAAAGATATATGCCTTTTTAGCTTCTTTATCCAGTACTATCAGTCTGGTATATCGCTTCAGCTAATAAATACAGGCTGTGGAGAACATACTCATTTGAGACAAGCGTGAAACCTACCTTTGTTGATTTTATTTTCTCCTCCTTTCCTACTCTTCCTTTGTGAGACTCTTCTCTCTCTTTCTCTTTGTCTCTCTCTCCCTCTCCTTTTCCTTTGTCCTGTCCAACACCCACCTTTCTTCTTTCCATGCTCAGTTTGTGTGTACGTTTATGTATGTGTGTGTGTGTGTGTGTGTGTATTAACACATGTGTGCATGCCTACTAATATTCTCTCCCATTTTCACCTTCTTGTTTTTTTAGGGAATCCAGCAAGCTATCTGAGACATATTTTCATCCCCTAAATTATTATAAAGTGTTACAGGAGGGAGTAAGTCAAGAATGCCTCTAAAACGTCTTAAGATGCTCTATAGAGAATTTCTCTCTTGGAGCTCACATTAGAAATGAGAGCATGAGAGCAGATAACTTTCTCTTCTCTTTTCACTTTATATCTTGTTCAACCTTAAATACACATAGAGCTTAAGTGTAAAAGCCCAGCACCTCCTTCCAATTAGCATCTCTGTGAGAGAGCTTTACCAGATGCCTCAAAGACCCTTTATGATGATTTTAGGGTTATCTACAAATCCAAAAGATACTGATGTTGTGGTTTTTAGGAGGTAATGAAAAGTGTCTTTGTGCTGACTGGAATGTGTGCACAGAAAGGAGAGAGGGTTAACCACTTTGAGGTAGAGCAAAGGATGAGATTACCTGAACTCTGCTTCTCTTGAATGGCTACAAGGACAGTTGTTCTCAACAGAGCCCACAAAATAGATTACATAATAAGAACACAGCTTTAAAACTTATTGCAAAGGTCCATCTAAATATCACAGTGCACTGTGTGTCTCAGCCACTTTCACTTCATTCTTTAGAACAGAAGATGCTGTTAATCTTTCAGTGAGAAATAAAAAATATTGTAATTCTATTTAGATAACATGAGTGTTCAAATGCATCATGAGTTAGGATCAACATTCACAACTGCCTTATTTGGTATACTATTTTGTATTTTAAAATTATAGAAATCATTTAATTTTAAACAGCATTCAAATTTTGAAGAAGACAACCTGAAACATTTACTCAGCCTAAGAAAATCAATCTAGACATTTTGTTATATGTTTTTCCAAACTTATATGTATTTATATTTTACTTTTTAAATTGAATTATTGGTAACACAGAATAATACCTTCTTACGGTATAAAAAATGAAAGAAGAGAGGGAAAAGGATATAAAGATGGAGCTAAACATGATGTCTTCTTTACCTCCCCTGTACTTATCTTGTTCTCCCACTATGTTAATCAATATAAAATGATTTTTGTATATTAAAAAACTCCTCTTTATACAAATATATATTGCATTTATTTTTACAGATGCAGAATCATACCGTACACACCACTTTGCAACCTTCTATTTTCACTTAGTGTAACACATGCAGTTCTACAAGTCAGGACACACAATTCTAACTCAATTTCATTATAACTGCTTTGCATTATGGCATATAAATAAGTACATATCTATGCATGGGAGCACACATAGATGTATATTTAAATGAACATGAAAGGTATATATCATACCTCATTATCTTTGAAGTACATATTTTTCTTTTTCTTTCACTTCTCACTTTCCTCTTATTTATTCTGCATTTCTACCCTGACTGCCTATCCCCCAGATATATAGAAGTGAATTGCTAATAACCTTGCATTTGGTGGTAATACAATAACCCATTGTTGGTTGAAATGTACAGTGAGTGTGAGTATAGGTGTTCAGTGAGGCATTCAGGAATGTGGTGGCTGAGACACTTATAGTCATAAGTATAAAGTGGCTTTGGTGGCAAAGACAGAGACTATGTATGGGCCCAATAGCACAGGCTTTATCTCAATAAGAGTTAGCTACTTACCGTCACTGCTGATAGCAGAAAGTAATGCTGAGCTCTCAATATGTCAACATTCCTCAATTAAACTATCAAGCTACTGTGTGGCACACACAGATTAATTATATTTGATCCCTTTCCACCTGGAGGAGGCAGCAATTTGTTCTTACAGGATACCTGCAAAAAAAAAAAAACTTATAAAGTTCTTCCTCTCTTATCACAGTGCTCTGACAGAACCATTATCTAAGGACTTCTATATATCCTACCTCATTATCCAGAAACAGCAAACCTAATACAACAGTAACATTATGTGTTAACAGTTCAGCAAAAGGGTCAGCTTGGTGACAGTGCTGTGTGAGATTGGGGAGCTTTGTTCCAGGATGTAGTATACACATTCCAATCACTTGCATATTTTTCTGTATCCATAATATCTACAATAGGGAAGCCAAGGATATGAAGTACAGGAGTAAAGTTTGTCTCTCTCCCCATCACTCCCAGCGATACAATTAAAGAAGTTGTGTTTTTCACCAGTGAAATCTTAGGCTCTGCTGGATTAGGGATTCTGGGTCCTAGTTGAGGAAGACTTCCACCAAGAAGTAACTATACCAGTTGGTCACTTCAAACTCCTTATGCCACTGTTCCAGGAGACAAATCAATAAATTACCAAACTCATGGGGATGTTTGACCCTGAACACCATAAAAATCTAGTGTTACTTCTAAAAAATTGGACTGGAGATGTGTGTCTAGAACTTGTGGAGAGACAGGGCCATCACTTGGTTATTTTGTTCCCAGTGATTATAGTGAATGGACAATGCAGGCAATCTTGTCCTGAGAAAGGCAAGAACACTCTGAGATTGAAATCTTGGTGGATAAAATCTAAATAATCAAACCAGGCAATAAAGCTCCCAAAAGGCTTGCCAAAGGTGAGAAAAATCTTAAAGATCCTAAATGTGAATGATAACCTTACCACAAGCTTTTGTATGTGTTTTCTCCTTTCCATTTCATTTAGTTCAGTTCTGATTTTGGTTAGTTTTTTCTTCTGCTAGCCTTGGGGTTGGTTTGTTTTTGTCTTTCTAGTTCCTTTAGGTGAAATGTAATTTTATTCCTTTTGTGGCTATTGTGAATGGGATTGTGTTCTTGATTTAGCTCAGTTTGAACATCATTTGTGTGTAGAAATGCTACTGATTTTTGTATGTTAACTTTGAGTCCTGAAACTTTGGTGACTTTAATTTGAGACCTTTCTAACTTTTTGATGTGGGTGTTAAGCACTATAAACTTTCCTCTTAATACTGCTTTAGCTGGATCCCAGAGATTCTAGTATGTTTCATCTTTGTTTTCATTATTTTCAAATAATTTCTTGATTTCTGCCTTAATTTCATTCTTTAGCCAAAAGTCATTCAGGAGCAAGTTGTTTAATTACCATGTAATTTAGTTGCTTTGAGAGATCTTCTTGGTATTGATGTAATTTTTTATTGCACTATGGCCCAAGATTGTGGTTTGTGTGATTTTGTGTTTTGGGATTTATTTTTTAATCTGTTGAGAATTGCTTTTTGGCCAAGTATGTCGTCAATTTTAGAGTATGTGCTATGTGCAGATGAAAAAAATGTGTATTGTGTTGTTGCTGTCTGGAGTGTTCTGTAGATGTCTCTTAGGTCCATTTGACCAACTGTTGAGTTTAGATCCTGAATATCTTTGTTAGTACTGTACCTTGATGATCTGTCTAATATTGTCAGTGTGGTGTTGAAGTCTCTGACTACTATTGTGTGGTTATAAGTCTGTTCATAAATCTCTAACAACTTCTTTTATTAATCTGGGTGCCACAGTGTTGTGTGCATATATATTTAGGATAGATAAGTTTTATTGTACTGAACCCTTTATAATTACGTAGTGCCCTTCTTTGTCCTTTTTGATTATTGTTAGTTTAATGTATGTTTTGTCTGAAATAAGCATAGCAACCCCTGATTCTTTTTTCCTGTTTGCCTGATATATCTTTCTCTATCCCTTTACTTTGAGCCTATGGGTATCCTTGCATGTGAGACAGGTCTCCTGAAGGCAGCATACAGTTGGGTCTTGCTTCTTTATCCAACTTGCCACCCTGTGCCTTTTAAGTGGGGCATTTAGCACAGTTACATTCAAACTCAATATTAATATTTGAGGATTTGATTTTGTCATATGTTGTTAGCTGGTTTTTATGTAGACTTAATTGTGCTTTAAGAGTCAATGATTTTCATACTTAAGTGTGTTTTTGTGGTGGCCAGTAACTGTCTTTTGTTTTCGTGTTTAGCACTCCCTTAGTAAAAACCATATGCAAGGCAGGTCTGGTAGTAATAAATTCTCTTAGGATTTACTTGTCTAAAAAGGATTGTATTTCTTCTTTGCTTATGAAGCTTAGTTTAGTGGGATATGAAATTGTTGACTGGAATTTCTTTTCTTTATTTTTAAGATGGAGCCACATTCTGTCACCTAGACATACCACCACGCCTAGCTATTTTTTTTTTTTTTTTAATTTTTGGTAGAGGCGAGATTTCACCATGTTGCCCAGGCTGGTCTTGAATTCCTGAGCTCAAGTGATCCACCCACCTTGGCCTCCAAAATGGTAATTTCTTTTATTTATGGATGCTGAATATGAGCCCTCAATTTCTTCTGGCTTTTAGGGTTTCTGCTGAAAGATCCACTGTCAGGCAGACAGGGTTCCCTATATAGGTGCCTTTTCTCTCTACCTGACTTTAGTATTTTTTATTTCACAGTGACTATGGCGAATCTGATGTCTTTTTGTCTTGGAGATGGTCATCATGTATTGTATCTTGCAAAGATCTCTGAATTTCCCAGGTTTCTGTGTCAACCTCTCTGGTGAGTTTGGGGAGATTTTCATGAACAAGACCATCAAATATGTTTTCTAAGTTGCTTACTCTCCTTCCTTTTCTTTCAGTGATGCCACTGAGTCACAAATTTGGTCTCTTTACATAGTCCTATATTTCTTCCGAGATATTTTGTTTATTTTTTCAAATACATTTTTACTTTACTTTTGTCTGACTGAGTTAATTCAAAGAACCAGTCTTCAAGCTCAGAGATTCTTTCCTCAGCTTGGTTTATTTTGCTGCTAATAATTCTGATTGTTTTATGAAGTTCTTATAGTTAGTTTTTCATCTCTGTCAGGTCACTTTTGTTCTTTCTTAAAACAGATACTTTATCTTTCAGCTTGTGTATTGTTTTACTGGATTCCTTAGATTCCTTGGATTAGATTTCAGCTTTCTTCTGAATCTTGATTTTTGTTGCCATCTAAATTCTGTATTTTACATCTGTCATTTCAGCCATTTTATTCTGGTTAAGAACCATATCTGGGGAGCTAGTACAGTCATTTATATGTAAGAGGACATTTTGGCTTTTAGAGTTGCCAGAGTTTTAGCACTGGTTCTTTCTCATCTGTGTGGACTGATGTTCTTTAACTGTGGTGACATTTGAGTACCATCAGTTGGCTTCATTTCTAGATGTTTGCGGAAGGCTGAAGCTTTGCGTAGGGTCTTTATTTGTGGCTGAATTATTGTCATTGGTTTCACAAGGAGGAATATTAGCCAAGTTTTTTTCCCGTTGAAGTTTGTGCTGTGATCCAGTAGATGGAACTTACATGTAGTGTCCATAAATAGGCTCTTACTGATCAGTGCTCCTCCTCAATATTTCCTCACATTTGCAGCTGTGCTACCTCTCAGAGTTCTGAGAGTGGAGGCTTCTGTCACACTCAAGTGCTGGCCACAAATATTGGCTTGGCACTCCCAGGCTGTGCATGGCAAACCCAGGGTGAGCTCAGGCTTTCGGTTCCCTCCCCAGCTTGGGGGCAGCAGGAGTGGCGACCTTGGCAGTGGCAGCAGCAAGGGTCTTAAACTTGTCTCTGGGGGTTCTGCCACAGGAAAACACAGAACTGCTGCTAATCTAATCTGGGTAGGGTAGCTGCATTGCAGGCCCAAGCCAGGGAGCAGATGGGAGGGCTCATGGTGAAGACAGTCTGGCCTCTTCTGTGTAGGGTGGTCACAGTGTGCTAGAGTTGCAAGTAAAGCACTCTGGTTCTTTGCTCACTCCCAGCCCAGTGGCAGAAAAGGAGGTACCACTATGGTGACAATGGCAGAGGGGCTGTAAGTTGCCTCTGGGAACTCCACCCCAGAGAGATACAGAGCTGCTGCCAATGGAATGTTCAGCTCAGGATGGGGCTGTTGCACTGTGGGCCCAAGCTGGGGGCCTAGCTTGGTGAAAAGCAAGGGGTTAGGAGCTGAAAGGGAAGAGACACTGGGCTGCTCTCCACAGAGCAGCTGGGATGTGCTGGGGGTGTGAGCAAAGTGATCAGGGTCTTTGTTCCCTTTCCAGCCCAAGGGCAACAAGGGTGACACCATTGCAGTGGCAGAGGCCGAGGGGTTATGGGTTGTCTCTAGGAATTCTACCCCAGAGATATGCAGGTCCTCCACTGACTGAAGTGATCAGGCATGGGTAGGGTGGCTGTTCTGCGGGCCAAGGTTGGGAGGACCTCCCCAGTGAGGAGTAGCAGGGGCAGGGAACCATGAGGAAAACAGTCTGGCCACTTTTCTGTACAGCAACCGAGGTGATAGCTCTTGTGCTCTTTGCTCCCTTCCCAGCCTGAAGGCAGTATGGGCAGGGACTGTGGCAGTGGCAAAAGCTGTAGACCTCCTAGTTACCCCTAGGAGCTCCACCTTAGAGGAATGCAGAACTGCTATAGTCAAGTGCTGAGGTTGGGGTAGGGTAGTTGTCCTGGGGTCCCAGGTCACAGAGCTTTGCCTGGAGTGGTGCAACAGAGGCGAGGTCTGCAGTCTGTCTGCTCCTCAGCACTGTGGATGCAGCCCCTTTCCTGGGGGCATGTGAGAAAGCCTGACCTCCCTTGTTGGTGGAACTACAGCTGCTGGAGTCAGGGCACTCAGGGACCCAAGATCCCTGGGTTTCCACATGAGTCTGAGCAGCAGCTCTGTCCGGACTTTGCACAACTCTCCATGTCAGTCTGGAGGCCCTGTGGGGAGGGGAGGGAGGGACTCTCCTGTGTTCAGTACTGATAAGGTCCATGGCAGAAGTGTGGGTCCCTGGGGGCTCTCATTCACTCACCCTTTCCCCAGAGTGGGGAGCCCCCCTTGGCTTTGTGCCAATCCTGCTGGGAATCTGCCCTGACTCACTCATCTCTGCTCTCTGTGGATCACACTGCTTCTCTGATGAATCCCCTAGGCAATCCAGTTGAAGAGCTTATATTTACTGACCACTGTATCTCCTCTCTGTGATAGTGGCACACACCATGCATTACATGCACAAACACACACACACACACACACACACACACACCATGGAATACTACCCAGTCTTAAAAGGGAATGAAATAATGGTATTAGCAGCAACCTGGATGGAGTTGAAGACCATTATTCTAAGTGAAGTAATTCAGGAATGAAAAATTAAATATTGAAGGTTCTCACTTATAAATGGGAGCTAAAGTATGAGGACACAAGGGCATCAGAATGATATAATGGATGTTGGGGAATCAGAGGGAAGGGTGGGAGGCTAGTGAGGGATAAAAGGCTACACATTGTAGACAGTGTACACTGCTCAGGTAATGGGTGCACCAAGATCTCAGAAATCACCACTAAAGAACTTATCCATGTAACCAAAAACCACCTGTTTCCCAAAAACTATTGAAACAAAATAAAGAAAAAAATAGCTGGAATAAATGTATCTACTGTAAAAACCTATATGATCATTTCAGTTGATGCTGAAAAAATATTTGATAAATTTAACATCCTTTTATAATAAAAGCTCTCAAAAAACTGGGTATAGAAGGAACATACCTCAATACAATAAAAGCCATATACAACAGACCCGCAGCTAGAATCACACTAAATGGGGAAAAACTGAAAGCATTTTCTCTAAAATCTGGAACCAAATAAAGATGCCCGCTTTCACCACTGTTCTTCAACATAAAACTGGAAGTCCTAGCTAGAGCAGTCAGACATGAGAAAGAAATAAAGTGCATCCGAATTGGAAAAGAAGAAGTTAAATTATCCTTCTTTGCAGATGTTATGATTTTCTGTATAGAAAAACTATTAGAACTGATAAACAAATGCAGTAAAGTTGCAGGATACAAAATCAACACACAAAAGTCAGTAGTACTCATATATGCCAACAGTGAACAATCTAAAAATGAAATCAAGAAAGTAATCCCACTTACAATAGCTATAAGTAAAATAAGACAAAAGAATAAGCTTAACCAAAGTGAATGATCTCTACAATAAAAACTATAAAACACTGATGAAAATAATTGAAGAGGACACAATAAAATGCAAAAATATTCAAATTTCATAGAGTAGAAGAAGCAATATTGTTAAAATGTTCATACTACCCAAGGCAATCTACGGATTCAATGTAATCCCTATTCAAATACCAATGGTATTCTTCATAGAAAAAGAAAAAATCTTATAATTTATATAGAACTACAAAAGAACCCAAAAGCTAAAGCAATCCTGAGCCAAAAAAGAACAAAACTGAGGTTATTTTTGCAAAGAGCTTTTGTAACCAATACAACATAGTAGTGGCATAAAAACAGACACAAAGACCAATGGAACAGAAAAGAGAGCCCAGATATAAGCCCATACATCTACATTGAACTCATTTCTGACAAAGGTACCTATAACATACACTGGGACAAGGACAACCTCTTAAATAAATGGTAGTGGAAAAACTGGATTATCCATAAGCAGAAGAATAAAATGAGACCCCTGTTTCTTGCCGTATTCAAAAATGAAGTCAAAATGGATGAAAGACTTAAATCTAAGAGAAGACCTCAAACTATGAAAATACCACAATAAAACATTGGGGAAACTTTTCCAGACATTGTTCTGGGCAAAGATTTCTTGAGTAATATCCCTCAAGCACAGACAACCAAAGCAAAAAAGGACAAATGGAATAATATCAAGTTAAAAAGCTTCTGTACAGCAAGGGAAACAATCAACAAAGAAAGAGAGAAACTACAGAATGGGAGAAAATATTTACAATATATTCTTCTGACAAGGGATTAAACACCAGAATATATAAGGAACTCAAACAATTCAATAGGAAGCAATCTAATAATTTGATTAAAAAATGGGCAAAAGATCTGAATAGACATTTCTCAAAAGAAGACATACAAATGGCAAACAGGCAAATGAAAACATGTTCAACATAACTGGCCATCAGATAAATGCAAATCAAAACTACAATGAGATATCATGTTAACCCAGTTAAAGTTGCTTATATTTAAAAGATAGTCAATAACAAATGCTAGTGAAGATGTGGAGAAAAGGAAACCCCCGTACATAGTTGGTGGGAATGTCAATTAGTACAGTCACTACGGAGAACAGTATGGAGAATCCTCAAAAAATGAAAAATAGAACTACCATAAGATCTAGCAATCCCACTGCTAGGTATATAGCCCAATGATAGAAAATCAGTATATCAAAGAGACATCTGCACTTCCATGTTAATTGCAATGCTATTCACAATAGCCAAGATTTGAAAGCAACCTAAGTGTCCATCAACAGACGAATGGAAAAAGAAAATATGATACGTATACACAATGGTGTGCTATTCAGCCATTAATAAAACGAGAGCCTATCATTTGCAACATGGATGGAACTGGAGGTTGTTATGTTAATTGAAATAAGCCAGTCACACAAAGACAAACTTTGCATGTTCTCACTTATTTGTGATAGCTAAAAATTAAAATAATTAAACTCATGGAGAAAGAGAGTAGAATAATGATTACTAGAGACTGGGAAGGGTAGTGGGTAACAAGGGGATGGTTAATGCGTACAAAAAGGTAGAATAAATAAGATTTAGTATTTGATAGCACAGCAGAGTGATTACAGTCAACAATAATTTATTATACATTTTAAAATAACTAAAATAGTATAATTAGAATGTTTGCAACAACAAGAAATGATAAATGCTTGAGGCGATGGGTACCCCATTTACCCTGATGTGATTATTATGTATTGTATGCCTGTATCATAATATCACATATAACCCATAAACATATATACCTACTATGTACCCATAAAAATTAAAACAATGTTAAAATTTTAAAAATTTAAAAATTTAAAAATTAAAAATAAATAAAATTTTTAAAAAAGTGTAACTTACGTATAAAAGAGATAAACTAAAAATAAACTTAAATATATATTACTTTTCATAAGAGAAAATATACAGTAAAACAATGGTGGTTTTCAATATATTATTTTCTGAATCCAACTAACAATAAAATAGAGACAACTTAAGTGGGTTTTTAAGTTATTTTTCTTTAATTAATTTTCCAAAGGGAATAAAACTTCAAGTTTTCAAGTAAAGAAAGTAAGAAGTTGAAATAGCAAAGAGCTAGCTTTCAGTTTTCCAAAGATTAAGTGGAAATTGTGTATATTAAACATATAACTATGTATATTTTATGTGTATGTACATGTGTATGTCAGATAGTTATATTGCATAGGGTAAATGATTATATAATCCTTGGTTTGTCACTTATATGCCCCTCTATATTCTGTTTGATCATATATTGATAACAATATGTCTATAACTTATAAAAAGGCAAGGGTTAAGTTAGCTGAATCTCTTAGTACTCTCTGTCAACTCAACGTAAGAATTCTAAATATCATGAAAATACGGCCATGGTGAATAAATAATACAATATAAAGATAATAGAAAAATTGCCTGTGTCATTCGTGTTTGCACTTTCCAATGAACTGAATTCATTAATGGAAAACATTTAGTAAATTAATTTTTAATCACTGTATTATGTATGCAATTTTCATGGAAAATATTCTCAACAAAATTATAGTTCCAGATTTGTGGACATATCAGGATTGGGAGAGACTCTAAAAAAACTGGAATTTCTTCGAATTTTGATAGGCAGAAACCAGAAATTGTTGACTTTGTGAATTCTAAACACAATGGTTATCTACAATTTTTATTCTGTGTAGAATATGTTTGCAAAATGAGGCCAGATCTGGCTTTGCGATCCAGCTCCAACCATAGTCATTAGACATATAATTTCAGGAAATTTACTTAAGTTTTTGAGTCTTACTTTTTTAATCTGCAAAATTTGGAAAATATACCAATCAATTCAAGTTTTTTTAGGAGAATCAAGTGAGTTAGTGCATGAGAAAGAGCATAATAATGATAAAAATTTACAAAAATAATATTTAAAAATTGTATCTATAAGGACATAAAACTTTGACATGAGGAAGTTATCTCATTACTCAGAAGGAATATAAATGTAGAGATAGAAGTCACCCAAATATGATTATCTTCCCATTTCCATATTCTTATTTACTCTCTCCTGTCATTAAAAATCAAGATCTTTTAAGTGTAGAGACTTCCCTGAGTCTTTCAATACTAAATAGCAAGCAGAATATGAAGGATAAAAGGGGATGTCTAACTAAGACAATCAAATTGCAGGTGTGTGTGTGTTTGAATGCTGTTATGTATGTGTTTGAGCACAGTACATAATATCTATTTTAAACTTTTATTTGGTTTTACACCTTTGTCCTATGTCTCCAAATACTTCCATATATCAGAAACTTATAAGGGAGAAGTTACATAAAGTTGAGCAAAATTTAAAATAAATTACAAAAGTCATATGAAAGTAAAATAAATATAAATGCCTTTGATATTATTTAGAACCCTTTCTCAAATAAACTCTTGGATTACAAAGAAAATAAATTACTTTTTCAAAATGAAAAATATTTAAAATAAATCTTTCATCCTCTTCTTTCACCTTCTGATTCTTCTCCTTGTTACTCCTTAATATTATTACTAAAGATAATTGCACTAATTTGTAGTAAAAATAGTAATAGCAATGATTATTTATTTGTTTTGGGAACATTCAAAATCCTCTCTTCTAGCGGTCTGAAAACATATAATAAATTTTTATTAATGATAGTCATCCTACAGTGCTGTAGAATACTAGAACTTACCCCTTCTATCTAGCTGTAATTTTGTATTCAATAACCATCCTCTCCCTTCTCCTTCCCTGCCTCTAGTAACCAGTAGTCTACTTCTATGAGCACAACTTTTGTGCCTCCCACATGAGTGAGAATTTGTGATTTGTGTCTTTCTGTGCTTCTCATACTTCACTTACATAATGTCCTCCGGTTCCATCCATGTTGCAATGAATTACAGGATTTTATTCTTTTTCAGGGCTGAATAGTGTTCAACTGTGTGTGTGTGTGTGTGTGTGCACGCGCGTATGTGTGTATAACGTTTGCTTTATCCATGTATCCTTTGATAGACATTTATGTTGATTTCATATCTCGGCTATTGTGAATAGAGCTACAATAAACACGGGGGTCCATAACTCTTTGAAATACTGATTTCCTTTACTTTGGATAAATACACAGTAGAGTGATTTCTGGATCATATGGTAGTTTTATTTTTAGTTTTTAGAGAGTCTTCATACTGTTTTACATAGTGACTGTACTAATTTTTATTTTCACCAGCAGTGTATAAGAGTTCCCTTTTTGCCTTGAAATGATACTTACTTACATTGTATATATGTATTGAAATGTCACCCTGTGTTTCATAATATGTACAATTATTAGGTGTCAATTACAAAATATATCTACATATGTATATAATGATCAAATCCATAAAGACAGATACCTTAGTATCTAGTAGACTTGAAAACCACAGGTACTGGGAAATATTAAGTTTTTAAAATTTCATTCAATTAAATAAACTCCTCTATGAAGAATATGAAGAACAGCTATAATTTACTTTAAACCTACAAGGCAACACTATAATTTGCAATTCACTTATAATATTTGTAATTTTTAAATGATAGCTGTTATAGAAATTATCAGAGCATCTTTAAATCAATGTGGTAATTTTTATTTCATGAGTGACATGTTTTAATATGATATTAATATATCTACCAAGATGTTAGAGATCAGAATAGTGGTTACCTTGAAGGTTAATGACTAGGAAGAAGCAAGAAGAGGCTTCTTGATGCTGGTAATGTAATATTTATTGATTGAGGCAGTAGTTTCACAGGTGTCTTATTTTGGGAAAATTAATACTGCTGCACTTTTATTATTTGCACACATTTCTGTATTGTGAAATAATATAACAGTAACTTTCCCCCCAATTAATACCCATTAATATCTTCAGATCTTTTCCTGAATGATCTATTCCAAATCTATAATCCACTAAGTTAAGTTGGGTTGTCTTTGACCAGACAGATGATAAATGGTGCTTTCCCACTCAATGTTATTTTTAATTGTGAAGAGCTATTGACAAGTTTAAGAACACCAACATCTAGAAAGGGTTAGCTAATCAATATATGTAATGTGGGTCATTGGTTATTATTTAATGCTAGTGATCATTCAGTGTTCTTTGTCTGTTGCCTTATGTAAAAACAAAATCATTTAAAAACTGGAAGATGAAGTGTAATCTCCTCTAAAATACTGCAGTCTATCTTTATTTGTGTGGCATGCTTCTGACAAATGATCACTAGCTCTGGAGACCAAACCTATCTGTCAAATTCTATTTTTTGAGATCTTGATCAGATTACTACATTATTTTTAACTTGAGTATGCTCATATGGCTGCTTATAGGGTAACACTAGCAGACCTCTGGATTCTTCTTTTCTTTTAACATTCAATGTATTTTATTTGTATTTGTTCTTGAATTTCTGACTATTCTAACCTTCTTAGCCTAATTTTATAACTCTAAGCTTAAAGTGCAAGTTTTTGAGAATTAAAAAAATAAAGCTTATCAAAACAAACTTTGAACTGCACTAACAGGAACTTTAAGTAAATTGCCTGCTTTTGTTGTGAACGCTTATCCTCTTTAAAAAAGTATTTTGGTCATTTCAGATATTCTATTGCTATTTTTTAAGCAAGTCATTAATATCTTCAAAATTTTCTAATATGGTTGTATTACATTGTTTTTAGGTGTAAGTATCTAATAGCACCTAATAACAATAATAGCAATATTTATAATAATAATAAAATATTAACAATTATAACAATAGTGTTAAATCAGTGACACCGAAAACAAAGTGTCTAACTACTTAAAGTAAAAATTGGCAGAAATAAAGTTAAAAATAGAAAAATTCACAACTATAGTTGGAAACTAACAAGTAGATAAAATATCATCAGGAATATATAATTGAACAATACTATTAATAAGTTGATCTAATGGATGTTTAGAGAATAATGAACCAAATAGCAGCAGAGAAAGTCCTCATGTATGCATGTAACACTGACCAATATTGATTATATGCTGGGCCATAAAACAATATTCTATTTATTTTTTATTTATTTATTTATTTTGAGACAGAGTCTCAGTTGCCCAGGCTGGAGTGCAGTGGCTCGATCTCAGCTCACTGCAAGCTCTGCCTCCTGGGTCACGCCATTCTCCTGCCTCAACCTCCTGAGTAGCTGGGACTACAGGCGCCTGACACCAGGCCTGGCTAATTTTTTTTTTTTTTTTTTGAGACGGAGTCTCGCTGTCGCCCAGGTTGGAGTGCAGTGGCACAATCTCGGCTCACGGCAGGCTCCGTCCCCTGGGGTTCACGCCATTCTCCTGCCTTAGCCTCCCGAGCAGCTGGGACTACAGGTACCCACCACCTCGCCCGGCTAATTTTTTGTATTTTTAGTAGAGACGGCGTTTCACTGTGTTAGCCAGGATGGTCTTGATCTCCTGACCTTCTGATCAGCACGTCTCAGCCTCCTAAAGTGCTGGGATTACAGGCGTGAGCCACGGTGCCTGGCCTATTCTATTTATTTTAAGAGATCAAAGTCATCTAGAACATGTTTACTGGTCACATGGCATTTACTTAGAAATCAATAAGAAGATATTTGAAATTTTAAAAGCATACAACTTACTAAGTAACCCAAGGATCAAAGAGAAAATCACAAGGAACGTTAAATATACAATAACTAAGTGACAGTAATAACCTAACCTACCAAAAGTTATGGGGAGTAGCTAAAGCAACCCAGACATAAACTTAAAATTTAAACAGCATATTTTTTTTAAAAAGTAAGGTATACACTCAATCAAATTTTCAAATCAGACTTACACAAATTAGAAATTTTCCCCAATATCAAAATTTCATAATAATTTCTAAGATGCAGACAATCTCAAATCACAATCTCTAATCTCTTTACTTCATTATTTCAATTAAGAACATAACCCTGGGCCAGGAGGGGTGGCTCACACCTATAATCCCAGCACTGTGGGAGGCCAAGGCAGGCAGATATCTTGAGCCCAGGAGTTTGAGACCAGCCTGGGCAACATGGCAAAACTCTGTTCCCACCCCCTCACCAAAAAAAAATATTGCCTGGATTAGCCTAGTGTGGCGGCACGTGACTGTAGTCCCAACAACAAGGGAGGCTGAAGTGGGAAGATCACTTGAGCTGGGAAGATTGAGTCTGCAGTGAACCACCACACTCCAGTTCTTCGGAAACCCAGTGAGACCCTGTCTCAAAAAAAAAAAAAAAAAAAAAAAAAGAAAGAAAGAAAAAAAGAAAGAAGAAAGAAAGAAAAGGAAATTAAGAACATTAACCCCCTTTCCTTCCTTTACACTTGCCAGCTGAGATTATACACTTTTCTCATTTAAATATCAGTATGCAACCCTTCAACATGTCTATCTTGGTCAGTTTGGGCTGCTATAACAAAACGGCATAAACTAGGTAGCAAATGAGCAACAGAAATGTATTTCTCACAATTCTGGTGGCTTGGAAGCCTAAGATCAAGGTGCCAGCAGATTTGATGTCTGGTGAAGGTCTGTTTCCTGGTTCACAGATGGCTCTTTCTCACTGCATCCTCACATGGTAGAAAAGGCAAGGGAACTGAAACTTCTTTTCTAAGAGCATTAATGTTGTTCATAATGGCTCTGCTCTAATGACCTAATCACCTCCTAATACCATTAGGGTTGAGATTTCAACATATGAATTTTGAGATGAGATAAACATTCAGATCATAGCAATGTCCTTTGCAAATTTCTTAACTTTGTTACCTCATTGTACCATTATTAACTTCCACAAGGATATGTGAACTTGGCAATTAGTCTCTACAGTCCTTTAAAAGTTGGATGAATTACATAACTGGGCAGTTTGATGACACTAAAATTTCCTAACCCACAGTCCTAGACAACAGAGACCTTGAGTCTATCCCCAATCCTATTATGTTATTGTTCTAGTCCCATTCACTCATCCTTCACCCATGAGGATTTCAAAATTTCTCTATTTTCCTCAAAACTCCTATTTTTCTTAGATAAGCTACCAATTAAGAAAAGATTTTTTCTTCCTAGCACTGATGGTCTTTACAATTTGGCATCAGCTAATGAGCAAAATAACCAGCTAACATCATAATGACAGAATCAGATAACGAGCAAAATAACCAGCTAACTCATAAGACAAGATCAAATTCACACATAACAATATTAACCTTAAATGTAAATGGGCTAAATGCTCCATTTAAAATACACAGACTGGCAAATTGTGTAAAGAGTCAAGACCTATCAGTGTGCTGTATTCAGGAGACCCATCTCACGTGCAGAGACACACATAGGCTCAAAATAAAGGGATGGAGGAAGATCTACCAAGCAAATGGAAAACAAAAAAAGGTTGCAATCCTAGTCTCTGATAAAACAGACTTTAAACCAACAAAGATCAAAACAGACAAAGAAGGCCATCACATAATGGTAAAGGGATCAATTCAACAAGAAGAGCTAACTATCCTAAATATATATGCACCCAATTCAGGAGCACCCAGATTCACAAAGCAAGTCCTTAGAGACCTACAAAGAGACTTAGACTCCCACACAATAATAATGGGAGATTTTAACACCCCACTGTCAACAATAGACAGATCAACAAGACAGAAAGTTAACAAGGATATCCAGGAATTGAACTCAGCTCAGCACCAAGCGGACCTAATAGACATCTACAGAACTCTCCATCCCAAATCAACAGAATATACATTCTTCTCAGCATCACATCACACTTATTCCAAAACTGACCACATAGTTGGAAGTAAAGCACTCCTCAGGAAATGTAAAAGAACAGAAATTGTAACAAACTGTCTCTCAGACCACAGGGCAATCAAACTAGAACTCAGGATTAAGAAACTCACTTAAGGCCAGGCACGGTGGCTCACGCCTGTAATCCCAACACTTTGGGAGGCCGAGGCAGGCAGATCATGAAGTCAGGAGATCAAGACTATCCTGGCTAACATGGTGAAACCCCGTCTCTACTAAAAATACAAAAAATTAGCCAGACACAGTGGTGGGTGCCTGTAGTCCCAGCTACTCGGGAGGCTGAGGCAGGAGAATGGCATGAACCTGGGAGGCGGAACTTGCAGTGAGCTGAGATGGCACCACTGCGCTCCGGCCTGGGCGAAAGAGCGAGACTCCGTGTCAAGAAGAGAAAAAAATAAAAAGAAACTCACTTAAAACTGCTCAACTACATGGAAACTGAACCTGCTCCTGAATGACTACTGGGTACATAACGAAATGAAGCCAGAAATAAAGATGTTCTTTGAAACCAATGAAAACAAAGACACAACATACCAGAATCTCTAGGACACATTTAAAGCAGTGTGTAGAGGGAAATTCATAGCACTAAATGCCCACAAAAGAAAGCAGGAAAGATCTAAAATTGACACCGTAACATCACAATTAAAAGAACTAGAGAAGCAAGAGCAAACACTTTCAAAAGCTAGCAGAAGGCAAGAAATAACTAAGATCAGAGCAGAACTGAAGGAGATAGAGACACAAAAAACCCTTCAAAAAATCAATGAATCCAGGGGCTGGTTTCTTGAAAAGATCAACAAAATTGATAGACCACTAGCAAGACTAATAAAGAAGAAAAGAGAGAAGAATCGAATAGATGCAATAAAAAACGATAAAGGGGATATCAACACTGATCCCACAGAAATACAAACTACCATCAGAGAATGCTATAGATACCTCTATGCAAATAAACTAGAAAATCTAGAAGAAATGGATAAATTCCTGGACACATACACCCTCCCAAGACTAAACCAGGAAGAACTTGAATCCCTGAATAGACCAATAACAGGCTCTGAAATTGAGGCAATAATTAATAGCATACCAGTCAAAAAAAGTCCAGGAACATATGGATTCACAGCTGAATTCTACCAGAGGTACAAGGAGGAGCTGGTACCATTCCTTCTGAAACTATTCCAATCAATAGAAAAAGAGGGAATCCTCCCTAACTCATTTTATGAGGCCAGCATCATCCTGATACCAAAGCCTGGCAGAAACAAAACAAAAAAAGAATTTTAGACCAATATCCCTGATGAACATTGATGCAAAAATCCTCAGTAAAATACTAGCAAACCGAATCCAGCAGCACATCAAAAAGCTTATCCACCATGATCAAGTGGGCTTCATCCCTGGGCTGCAAGGCTGGTTCAACATATGCAAATAAATAAATGTAATCCAGCATATAAACAGAACCAAAGACAAAAACCACATGATTATCTCAATAGATGCAGAAAAGACCTTTGACAAAATTTAACAGCACTTCATGCTAAAAATTGTCAATAAATTAAGTATTGATGGGACGTACCTCAAAATAATAAGAGCTATCTGTGACAAACCCACCGCCAATATCATACTGAATGGGCAAAAACTGGAAGCATTCCCTTTGAAAACTGGCACACAACAGGGATGCCCTCTCTCACCACTCCCATTCAACATATTGTTGGAAGTTCTGGCCAGGGCAATCAGGCAGGAGAAAGAAACACAGCGTATTCAATTAGGAAAAGAATAAGTCAAATTGTCCCTGTTTGCAGATGACATGATTGTATATTTAGAAAACCCCATTGTCTCAGCACAAAATCTCCTTAATCCGATAAGCAACTTCAGCAAAGTCTCAAGATACAAAATCAATGTGCAAAAATCACAAGCATTCTTACACACCAATAACAAACAGAAAGCCAAATCATGAGTGAACTCCCATTCACAATTGCTTCAAAGAGAATAAAATACCTAGGAATCCAACGTATAAGGGATGTGAAGGACCTCTTCAAGGAGAACTACAAACCACTGCTCAACGAAATAAAAGAGGATACAAACAAATGGAAGAACATTCCATGCTCACGGATAGGAAAAATCAATATCGTGAAAATGGCCATACTGCCCAAGGTAATTTATAGATTCAATGCCATCCCCATCAAGCTACCAATCACTTTCTTCACAGAATTGGAAAAAACTACTTGAAAGTTCATATGGAACCAAAAAAGAGCCCACATTGCCAAGACAATCCTAAGCCAAAAGAACAGAGCTGGAGGCATCACACTACCTGACTTCAAACTATACTACAAGGCTACAGTAACAAAAACAGCATGGTACTGTTACCAAAACAGAGATATAGACCAATGGAACAGAACAGAGCTCTCAGTAATAATACCACACATCTACAACCATCTGACAAACCTGACAAAAACAAGAAATGGGGAAAAGATTCCCTGTTTAATAAATGGTGCTGGGAAAACTTGCTAGTCATTTGTAGAAAGCTGAAACTGGATCCCTTCCTTACATCTTATACAAAAATTAATTCAAGATGGATTAAAGACTTAAATGTTAGATCAAAAACCATAAAAACCCTAGAAGAAAATCTAGACAATACCATTCAGGACATAGGCATGGGCAAGGACTTCATGTCTAAAACACCAAAAGCAATGGCAACAAAAGCCAAAGTTGACAAATGGGATCTCATTAAACTAAAGAGCTTCTGTACAGCAAAAGAAACTACCATCAGAGTGAACAGGCAACCTACAGAATGGGAGAAAATTTTTGCAATCTACCCATCTGATAATGGGCTAATATCCAGAATCTACAAAGAACTCAAACAAACTTACAAGAAAAAAACAACCCCACCAAAAAGTGGGTGAAGGATATGAACAGACAATTCTCAAAAGAAGACATTTATGCAGCCAACAGACAATGAAAAAATGTTCATCATCACTGGCCATCAGAGAAATGCAAATCAAAACCACAATGAGATACCATCTCACATCAGTTAGAATGGTGATCATTAAAAAGTCAGGAAACAATAGGTGCTGGAGAGAATGTGGTGAATTAGGAACACTTTTACACTGTTGGTGGGACTGTAAACTAGTTCAACCATTGTGTAAGACAGTGTGGCGACTCCTCAAGGATCTAGAACTGGCAATACCATTTGACCCAGCCATCCCATTACTGGGTATATACCCAAAGGACTATAAAACATGGTGCTATAAAGGCACATGCACACGTATGTTTATTGTGACACTATTCACAAAAGCAAAGACTTGGAACCAACCCAAATGTCCATCAATGATAGACTGGATTAAGAAAATGTGGCACATATACACCATGGAATACTATGCAGCCAAAAAAAATGATGAGTTCATATCCTTTGTAGGGATATGGATGAAGTTGGAAACCATCATTCTCAGCAAACTATCACAAGGACAAAAAACCAAACACCGCATGTTCTCACTCATAGGTGGGAATTGAACAATGAGAACACTTGGACACAGGAAGGGGAACGTCACACACCGGGCCCTGTCATGGGGTGGGGGAGGGGGAAGGGATAGCATTAGGAGATATACCTAATGTAAATGATGAATTAATGGGTGCAGCACACCAACATGGCGCATGTATACATGTGTAACAAACCTGCACGTTGTGCACCTGTACCCTAGAACTTAAAGTATAATAAAAAATAAAAGACTTTTTAACAGAGACAACTGAAGTCATTGGACTGACCATCATCTTATCATCACTTTTATACACGTATCTTTAAGTGATCCAAAGTATTTTTTATTTCCTGCTACAACCAGAAGGAACTCAATATCTCATGTAAAATCAGTCTTTATGACTCTATTCTAGACTTTGTTTTTTACATTTTCATAGGAAGTTATTGCCATCTGCTATTCTTTCTATTTCCTGTGTACTTGTCTTACTCTATTGGTTCCTTCTGATTAGTTTTTAAACAGGTTTTGTTTCTCCTGCAAAAACAAATAAAGTGAAAAAATCCTTCACTCTTTCCCATATTTGTTTAGTGTAAGATTTGATCTATCTTCTTGATACGTTAACACTTCTGGAATAAATTCTCTATTCACAAAATCCATTTGTTTACATTCCTCATTCTTTGTAGTTTGTTGTTTATTCCTATTGCCAATGTTGTCATTAATCTTCATATTAATAATTCCAAGGATATATTTGAGATTTCTTATTTTCTGAGAAGCATTTGACCCTCTTGAAAACATTCTTTAGTAACTACTCTTTCATTGCATTCTATGTCAGAACATTCTCCCAATCTTCCAAAATCTTTGACAACTCCTCATTGTCTTTTGCTGGCACCTCCTTCTCCTCTACATTCTTCTTATATGTTGGAATGTTTTAAACCTGTATTCTAATTCCCATTTCTTCTTATACTATTCAATCTCTAGGAGATTACATATAACTTGAATCATGAATATCAATATTATCATTTATAGTACAATTTCTTGAGTTCTAGTCCCAATAGCCTCTTCTGTATCATAATTTTGATGGTTCATAGCTCTCCAAATTCAGTAAGATTAAATTGATTTCATTATCTTCTTCCTATTATTTCTCTTTTATGTTGCCTTTATCCATCATGTTCCTTTAAAAAACTGTCACTTTTTATTGTTTTTCCTTGCATCTGTTAATTCTCCTCATAATATAATCTTCAGATCAAAGACAGGATGATTATTATAAAAACGCAAATCTGATCATAATTCTTCCCTGGTTTCTCTAATCATCACAGTCCAAGTAATAATTGATGATCATATTTACACAAGTCTTGAGGCTTTTTTAAATTTAACGATAAGTAACCACTTAACATGTTTAAGCAGAAGTGAATATGTATATGCAACATTAAATGCCAGAAGACAGAAAAGTTTGAGAGTGGTTGTTATTCTTGTATGAATATTATAAAAATATTTAATTGAGCAGTAGCCCAGAAAATATACCTCATGTCTTTTCAAAATAACATGTAAATGATTTAATACAGCCAATTGAAAGATAAGTTAAGATTAGAAAAATCTTGACATCAAAAAATAACTTTGAATAAGTATGTTAAGGATTAGAAAACTCTTAGAAATACATATAAAATAAAATATTGTTAAGGTAAAAACTAAGATGAAAATTATAATGTATATGAAATTTTTAAATAAAATATTCTAAATTGATTTAAGATAAAAGACATAGAGCACACTAAGCTGCAACTCCCATGTCCCCTTGGAGGGAGGACTTGTTTTAGCAACTGACAGCAGACAGCCTCTAGCTGCAGAGGGCAGCCTTTTATGAAGGCTAGCATTTCCCAGGATTGGATACTCTAATCTTATAACAGATGTATGAGATGGTATAAGGACAGTCATTTTGGCTCAACATAGGACAATTATAAATATCATATATCATATATCCTCCAGAGTTCCACATGGGTTGTCTAAGATGGTATGTCAAGCCTGCATCACAGTTCAACTTCTCCACCTACTCAGTCCTGCTTCCAACCATACCTTCCACAAGTGTTGATCCCCAAGAAATATCCTGCATGCTAAAGTCTGTGTCAGCATTCAATTTCAGAGAATACAACAGACAAAAAATGATTGGCCATGGTTATTTGGAGATAGAAGCACTTTCACTTTTTGTTTACACTTTCATTTTACACATTTTACAACAAGCATGTATTTTGTTTTTCCTTTTTACATGTAATCTTATGAAGAATTACATAAGTAGTGTCTCCTATTAATATGAAAAAAGTATAAAAAACGTAAAAAACTTTAAGCAGAAATGCAACCACTTTAAGAAGAATGCAACAACTTAGTAATCACAATGACCAATCTCATTTGACACTTTGAACAAAAAGATATCAAACATCATCAATGAAAATAACTATAAAGAGCATGTTGTCTAAAAACAGTTATGTCAGTTCCTTCAAAGGTGTGCGTCATTGCAGAATCATGGACAAAATTGCTTTTGTTTTTAAAGAATGCAAATAGAAATTAATAAATTAAGCATCTAATCCATAAAGTTAGGCAAAAAATGGAAAGAAGAAAAAAACCATGGAAAAATTAAGCTACTAAATTTAAAAAAGTAAAAATAATTATAAACTTAATGCCTAAAATGTAGATATGGTACATGAATAAAAGTCATTAGAAAAAAAATGTTAACAAGCATGTGACAGACATGTAAAAAAGATTATAACTATGCATATAATGTGAATTTAAACTAATTACTAACTTACAACCATGTGCTAATGTGGAAATCTCTAAGGAACTAATGGAGTGGAGAAAATATAAATTATTAAAATTAATTTGAGACAATGTTACCCAAATTACTTTTGATGAAGCTGAGTATTATTTGAATTTGTAAATAATCATATCCAGAAATTATACCAATTTTAGATATTTCATGGGAGTGATTCATTACAAAATTTTAAGGAATATTAATTTACATATCATTTACTCCATAGGGTAGTTAAAAGGAGTTAGTTAATTAATTAATTAATTTTAAGATGTTTTCATGGCCTTAATTTAAAAAAAACTTTATCAGCAGAAGATAAAAAATGGAAAACTACTGACAAGTCACATTTATGAATATACATTTATTAAGCATGCTAGCATCTATACTAATTACTTTACATGCATTTAACACCTTCAGCCATCTAAAAGGGTAGGATATTTTATAATCATCTCATTATCCATAAAGATACTAAGACTTAGCAGGTTTGGAGAAGTAGCTTATGAATACAAGGCTAAACTAGGAAAGAAATGGGATACAAATTCAGATTTTTCTAACTCTACACTCAAACTATGAAGTTCTACAACCTACTCACTCAAAAGTTATAAATATAATATTAAAAAATATCCATTTAGAGTATTAAAAATGATGAAGTCATCAAATGTGCTATTTTCTACAGATGAAAAAGGATAATCCAATATTCAGAAATGTATTCATGTAATTCTTCACGTCAATAGTTCAAAAAGGAGAAAAACATGAACTCCTCTCAAAATATGTTAAGAAGGTAATTGGATATATTTGAAATTTATTTCTAATTTATTTAAAAATGCTACCATTCTTTAAAGTTATGAATAGTCGAGCTTACATTCTGGTGAACAGGCATGTTTTTAACCATGAGTTTTCTAGCACTTGGCACAATAGCTGGTTATTATTTGCTTATATCAGTCAATATTACCTACAGTGATAAAAAATAAGTATAATTCCTATTAAAATTCATAATCTTTGTATTCTCATATTTGTCATTTGATATCTAACCAATACATGAAAAGAAAAAACAAAAGCTACAGGAAAGGAAAACAGCAATATCATCACTCGCAGGTGATACTATTCTTATCCTGGCAAAGCAAAGTAAGTCAACTGAACGATTATTAGGATAATCAAGAGAATTCAGTAAAATGACTGGTAATAAAATAAATATTCAAAAATTAAGGGTTCCTCAATGAAAGCAATACCATAGAGAAATATAATAAAAAAATTTCTTTCATAGTGAATAGAAAAAATGAAAATTCAAATTATTTAATAACTATGTGTAGGTCCTGGAGAAAGAAAACCATGAAATGTTAATGACAAATATATATACATTTATATACGAATGTACCTATTCACATATTCAAATGTACTCATATATACATGCACATATATGCATACATTCACTGACAAATACACATACATACACATGTGCATATGTATTGCTTACCCTTATTGAACTATGTATTTATTTTTAGATTTTATATGTTCATATATTTATTGTTGTGTTTGTAAATTATTTACATTCATTTATTTATATTGTTTTTAATGAGAGGATATATCATATTCTTAGTGAAAAACTATTACAGAGATTGTATCTTTCCTCGAAATGTTTTATGAACTTAATTCAACTTTTTAACAATCTTTCAGGCTGGCAAAGACTTAAAAGATTAATAATTCTCAGCATTGGAAAACATTTGCAGAATTACACACTCTTACAGACTAAACATGAAAGTATAAACTGGTATAGCCTTTTTGCAGAATACCCTCAAGTTATTTACCAATTTTTTTTTTTTTTTTTCGGAGACAGAGTCAGCTCTTGGCTCTTGTCGCCCAGGCTGGAGTGCAGTGGCTCCATCCCGGCTCACTGCAACCTCGGCCTCCCAGGCTCAAGCGATTCTCCTGCCTCAGGCTCCTGAGTAGCTGGGATTACAGGCGCCCACCACCAAGCGCAGCTTATTTTTGTACTTTTAGTAGAGATGGGGTTTCGTCACGTTGGCCGGGCTGGTCTCGAACTTGACCTCAGGTGATCAGCCCTCCTCGGCCTCCCAAAGTGCTGGGATTACAGGCGTGAGCCACTGAGCCCGGGCTATTTACCAAATTTTCAGCAAATAAAGAATATATCTTTACCCAGCAATGGTACTTTTAGTAAACTTAGACATAGCTGCTCAGTTGCACAATAGATTAGAGAACAGGGATAGTTTGGGGCTTCAGTTTGTGGGCTGGAGAAAGAACAATTCATACTTCATACTATTTCCATATTTATTAATGTCCATATGCAAACACATATTTGCATACAATATGTCTTTTTAGGTTAACAAATATAATTCAGTATTTCCATAACAAAATGAGCACTGGTGGTAACAGAAATGGTGATTTAGAGGAAACACAAAAGGAATTTACTGAGAACCAAAAATAATAAGTATTGAAACAATTATGAGGGCTTCTTTGGAAGTGATTATAAATGATCTTTTAAAAATATTATATGAAGGAGGATGGGCGCGGTGGCTCAGCCTGTAATCCCAGCACTTCGGGAGGCCGAGGCGGTTGATCACGAGGTCAGGAGATCAAGATCATCCTGGAGAACACGGTGAAACCCCATCTCTACTAAAAGTACAAAAAAATTAGCCCGGCGTGGTGGCGGGCGCCTGTAGTCCCAGCTACTCAGGAGGCTGAGGCAGGAGAATGGTGTGAACCTGGGAGGCAGAGCTTGCAGTGAGACCAGATCGCGCCACTGCACTCCAGCCTGGGCGATAGACAAGACTCCATTTCAAAAAAAAAAAAAAAAAAAAAAAAAAATTACATGAAGGAAATTTAAATTGTATTAGTGAGTGAAAGAAGCCAATCTGAAGAGGCTATATAGTATATGATTCCAAGTATATGACATTCTAGATGAGGCAAAAATTAGAGACAGTAAAAAAATCTGTGGTTACCAGGAGTTAGGCGGAAGAGAGGGAGGGAGGGAAGGAGGGAGGGAGGGAAAAATAAATAGGTGAAACACAGAGAAATTTGAGGTCAGTGAAAGTACTTTGTATGATACTATAATGTAGATACATGGCATTATACATTTGTTCAAATTCATAGAATGCACACTACGAAGAGTAAACTTGACGTAAAATGTAGAGTCTGGGTGATAATGATGTGCCAATGTAGACTAGCACCACTGTGCTACGGAGTGTTGATAATGAGGGAGGCTATACATGTGTGGAATAGAAAGTATATAGAAAATGCCTCTACCTTCCTGTCAATTTCATTGTTAACCAAAACTCTTCCAAAAAATAAAGTCTATTAAAAAATAAGTATGCAATATCTGTGACTCCTTTGCTTATAACCCTCATGGCTCATCATTTTACTAAAAGTAACAGCAAACCTCCTTATGTTGCCTTCAAGGCCCTACTTAATTTGTTCTTCAACTCATCTCTTCAACCTTATATTGGTTTACTGCACCCTTTTCTCACCCCACTGTGCCATATGACCTTCTTACTTTTCCTCAGACATGCCAAGCACTATTCTTTGCATTTGTTCTTTTCTCTGTCTGAAATGCTCTTCCTTTTTCCCTCTCTTTCTTCTGCTAAACAGCTACATATATCACTTTCTCATCCAGAAATGAGAACTTTTCAGAACAAGTTGTCCTCCACCAAAGCCTACCCCTGACCATGCTATTTAAAAGTAGAACGTGTTTCAGTTCAAAGACTTCAAGGGGAGAACACACTTGGCACCTTCCAGGAATGGCAAAAAAAAACCACTGTGACTTTAGAAGAAAGAAAAAGTAAATCATTGTTATTTCTTGATGATGGGGATTTGGACGCGTATTACCTGTGTCTTTATGTTTTCCTGTATCTTTGCAATTTTCCATTATGAGAATGTATTATCTAAATAATTGAAAAATTAGAAATATGATGAAGAAATAAAAGTTAAATTGGTAATAAATTAGGTCACCCCAGAACTTAAGAGCCAAATATGAGAGTGACCTATATACGAGTGTGTGTTGCAGCCTCTTTCTTCTTATTGTAGATAAATGTTTCTAATGGTGACTTATCACTAAACTCTTCTGTGAAACTAGTGCCTCTTTCTGCTTCTGTGACTGTGTCTTGAGCCTTATGCTTCACTTGCCCTGTAAGCCTTCTTGGTCCTACCTTAGAGTACCTTGGGCCAAAAGAACTGGGTAGATCACAGCAGTGTTCTATGCACCATTGATAACATTTCTAGTAATCAGAAAAAGTGTTTGAGTTTGAAATACCTAGGTATCACTAATTTATATTTCATTATAGTTCTATAGTTTGTAAAGCGATTACCTCTTAATGTGTTGATTGAGTGGACAATGAATTCAAGAAATGACTGTCTGAATGAGTCAGTCTTTATTAGATATAACATCAAGTTATTTTTTAAAATATAAGCTATTAAAACTGAATATGTATGAGGTTTTCCTGAATATTAAAAATATATCTCTATTAACACAGCTTATAGTTAAATCTCTATATGGAATAATATTTGATAGAGTAGAATGAAAGTATTCAGATACAATATGGTTGAATGATTAGACTAAGCCATTTTAATACAAATTCTTCCTCAGAATTAAAGCTAATCATTAAATATTATAATGATTATATAAAAAGTGATCACCATACCATACATGATTTTTTGCTTTATAATGTTTTTACCTATTAACATTAGACATAAGATATCAAAAGACAACAGTAGCATTAGGTCTTTACAGTACTTTACAGGATAAGCTCACCACCATTTTGAAGAGATAACATACCAAAACATCCAGCCTATTCCAAAATAAAATGCAATTATCTTCCTGCAACATTTAAAGAAAGAAAACTATTATTTGAATAAAACTTGGTTTGATTGAGAAATGAGACACCACACAATGAATAAAAGATCAGTGCTGATCACTAGAGAAGGTAAGTCAATATGTAGGAAATGGGTTTATGAAAAGACACATTTTAATATATACCACAGAATTTAACAGATTTCACACATGAAATAAATTAATTACTGTCCCTGTCAGGGCCATTAAAATTTTTTTTCTTAAAATTGAAAATATATATGAGGATACTGAATATGGCCTTTGCGTTTGGTAATTGGCCAGACAAACATGTGAGAAAAAAAGGGTAACTTTGGATTTGTTCAATTTGTGTTTGTTGACTAGAGGTAAAACAACACTACTGATTTTCTTCCAATCTCCTCATTGAAGTCTTTGTACTGATTAATCTCCCAGAATAAAATATGAACTAGAATGGCATTCTTTTATATGTCACTATCTCTTGTCACATAGCTCATATACTAGAAATCTCTTTCTGAGAAAATTCAACTGCATATTTTTTTCAAAATTAATCCTGAGGTAAGTTTCTTAACAAAAATAAGACAAATAATAATTGCCATGAGAAAAAAGACGCCTTCATGTTAGATTTTAATTTCTAACTTAGAACTACACTTAATATCTTTTTTCTCCTTAAAAAGATATTCGTATAATAGTGCTAAATTTTGATCATACTCTTTGTAGTGTACTGCATTGTACTAGAAGCTGGACAATACTCTTAATCTCTTCTTTTGATAATAAAACCCTCAAAATGCTTAATATAGGGATTCACACATAGGGTTTAAAATTTCTGAGTAGATGATTGCTATGGGCTAAATTGTGTTTTCCCAAAATTCAAATGTTGAAACCCTAACCCTCCCAATGTGATGATATTCAGAGATGGAACTATTGGGAGATAATTAGGTTTACATAAGTTCATAAGGGTTGAAGGGTGTGGCCCTCATGACGGGATTAGTGCCTTTATAGGTAAAAGGAGAAAGACCAGAGTTCTTTTTCTACCACGTGAGGATGCAGTGAGATGTCTGTCCAAAAACCAGAAAGACAGCCTGCACCAGGAACTGAATCAGCCAGCTTCTTAATCCTGGACTGCACAGCCTCCAGGACTGAGAGAAATTAGCTGTTGTTTAAGGCATTTAGTCTATGGCATGTTGTTATAGCAGCCTGAGCTAATATAGTATGTATAAGTATAAAATAACTTGTCAAATCGTATTATGTTATGAAGAAAAAAATGATGGCAAATGAATTAAAGAGTGCTGCAGAAGGGCGTGAGGTTGTTTTATAGAGCATAATCAGGGAAGGATTCACATAACCGGGGCAAAGTAATGAAGGATGTTTGAGCAGAAGTATGCCTTTCTAGGAAAAAGTCAACACAAACTGAGAGAAAAGCACACACAGAGTCCCAAAGACAAGAATGTGTTTGTGAATTCTGGGACAGAAAACCAGAAAGATATGTGCTGAGAGATAAAGTGAGGAGCAGAGAGGGATTAGTGAAGTGGAACCTTGTGCACCATTGAAAAGTTTTACTTAGAGACAAGGGAAATCACTGAATGATTTTGAGCAAAGGAGTAACAGGATCTTATCTGTGTGTTTTTGTTTTGTTTTGTTTTTTGTTTTTTGAGACCGGGTCTCGCTCTGTCAGGCAGGCTGGAGTGTAATGGTGCGATCTTGGCTCACTGCAACCTCTGCCTCCCGGGATCAAGCGATTCTCCTGCCTCAGCCTCCCAAGTAGCTGGGACTGCAGGCATGCGCCATCACACCTGGCTAATCTGTATATTTTTAGTAGGGGCGTGGTTTCACCATAATGCCCAGGCTGGTCTCAAACTGCTGACCTTCTGATCCACCTGCCTCGGCCTCCTGAAGTGCTGGGATTATAGACGTGAACCACCGTGCCCAGCCTTATCGATGTTTTAAAAGTATCACTGTTTTTTTGTGTATTGAATTGACTGTAGAGGAACACAAGTACAATTAGAGAGACCAGTGACTTTTGAAAGAGTTCAACCAAGATTCCACAATGGTCTAGATCAGAATATCAAACTGGAAGTGATCGGAATTTTTTGGATGTATTTTGAAGAGCTAACAACACCATACTTATGCCAAAAACCTGAATTGGCTTCCTGTCATACCATGGTCTGCAAAAACTTACA
The DNA here is from genome assembly GCF_000001405.40 of Homo sapiens. NCBI lineage: Eukaryota > Metazoa > Chordata > Mammalia > Primates > Hominidae > Homo > Homo sapiens. Next base: position 155,560,702 of record NC_000002.12, on the reverse strand, counting down.
GGTTTGGTTCCCTGGCTCCTTCTGCCACCTAATTTCTCTTACTTTCTTTGTGAATGCTCTCTAGTGAATCAAATCTATTTACAAACATCATGTCCTCAGAAACATCATGTCCTCAGAGAAGTTTTCTCAGAATACCCTACCTTATCCTAAATCCACCTACCTCATTTCACTCTCTTCTTGCTTGGATTTCTTCTCTTCATAGCACTTATAAATACATATCCATTATTATATTTTTTGTTCATTTATTCATCATCTGCCTCCCCTTTAAAAATATAAGCGTAATAGAAAATATCATATTTTGAAACAGACATGAATAAACTTTATATCAGCTTGACTTGAAAATTGCTATTACTCTTAAATGCTGATTATGTTATACATTGCTGAAAAAGAATCTAAAATCTCACAAATATTTATTGAATTCTATATTCATTTACAATTTGTGTTCCATACCTTATTCATTATGCTGCTTTCCATTGATTAATTACCTCTTAATCATAAAATGTAAGAAAAACTTATTAAGCCTACATGTCATAGCTTCTCTCACATTTATGATCTCATATTAAAAAAATGAAATTTTTATAAAAAACAGGGTTATGTAATCATGTGATTGTTTTATTACATTAGTGACCTAATACTATAAATGTGCTTTTAGCGAAAATCATGTTCTTTTATTTTTAAATCAATTCAAAAAGTTTACTGAATTCCTAAAATATATGAGGCCATCAAGCCAGACAACATTCCCACTCTCAAAAAGCTTATAGTCTAATAGTGGATCTCATATTGCTATCAATCTGGGAACAGTTAACGGCTTAATATCAAGACTTCTAATAAACACAACATGTCTCCATTTATTTGGTCTCTAATTTCTTTAATCAGTGTTTCATAGTTTTTTGCTTACACATGTACATACTTTATTAGATTTATACCTAAGTGTTTCATGTTTTGGTGGGTTTTTTTAACTTTTAAGTTCAGGAGTACATGTGCACATTTGTTATATAGGTAAACTTGTATCATGGGGGTTTGTTGTACAGATTATTTCACCACCTAGGTATTAAGCCTAGAACCCATTAGTTATTTTTCCTGACACTCTCCCTCCACCTACCTTTCACCCTCCAGTAGACACCAGTATGTGTTGCTCCTCTCTATGTGTCCCTGACATCTCATCATTTAGCTCCCACTTATAAGTGAGAACATGTAATATTTATTTTCTGTTCCTGAATTAGATTGCTAAGGATAATAACCTCCAGCTCCACCCATGTTGTGGCAAAAAAGATGATCCCATTCTTTTTATGGCTGCATAGTATTTCATGGTGCATATGTAACACATTTTCTTTATTCAGTATACCATTTAGGTTGATTCCATGTCTTTGCCATTGTGAATAGTGAATATGTGTGTATGAATATACGTGAATATATGTGTGCATGTGTCTTTAGAATAGGATAATTTATATTCCTTTGGGTGTATACCTGTTAATAGTCATGGGATTCCTGGGTCAAATGGTATTTCTGTTTTTAGGTCTTTGAGGAATTGCAACACTGTTTTTCACAATGGTTGAACTAATTTACACTCCCTACAACAGTTGTATAAGTTCCTTTTTTTTCTCTACAACCTCACTAGCATGTGTTATTTTTTGACTTTTAAATAACAGCCATTCTGATTGGTGTGAGATAATATCTCATTGTGGTTTTGATTTGTATGTCTCTAATGATCAGGGATGTTGTGCTCGTTTTCATGTGCTTGTGGTCCTCATATATGTCTTCTTTCAAAAAGTGTCCATTCGTGTCCTTTACCCACTTTTTAATGGAGCTGTTTGTTTATTTCTTGTAAATTTGTTTGAGTTCCTTACTGATGCTTGATATTAGACTTTCATTAGATGCACAGTTTGCAAATATTTTCTCCTATTCTGTAGGTCATCTATTTACTCTGTTGATAGTTTTTTTTTTCTTTGGAATTGCTTTTGGCATCTTCGTCACGAAATCTTTGCCCATTCCTGTTCCTATGCCCAGAATTGTATTGCCTAGGTAGTCTTCCAGTTTTTATAGTTTCGGGTTTCACAACTAAGTCTTTATTCCACCTTGAGTTAATTTTTGTATATGATGTACGGAAGGGGTCCAGTTTCAATCTTCTGCATATGGCTAACCAGTTATCCCAGCACTATTTATTAAATAGGGAGTGAGTCCTTTTCCCATTGCTTTATTTTTAAGTCAACTTTGTCAAAAATCAGATAGGTGCAGGTATGTCTGGGCTCTCCATTGTGTTTCATTCGTCTATGTTCCTGTTTTTGTACCAATACCAAGCTGTTTTGGTTACTGTAGCCTTGTCATATAGTTTGAAGTTTGGTAGCATGCTTCCTCCAGCTTTGTTCTTTCTGCTTAGAAATGCCTTGGCTATTTGGGTTCCTTTTTGGTTCCATATGAATTTTAAAATACTTTTTCTAATTATAGGAAAAATGTATTGATAGTTTAATAGGAATAAAATTGAATCTATAAATTTGGAGAGTATACCCATTTTTATGATATTGAGTCTTACTATCTATGAACATGGAATGTTTTTTGCATCATCTCTGATTTCTTTGAGCAGTGTTTTGTGGTTTTCCTTGTACAGATCTTTCACCTTCCTGGTCAGCTGTCTTCTTAGGTATTTTATTCTTTTTGTGGCAATCATGAATGGGACTGCATTCCTGATTTGGCTCTCAGCTTGGCTGTTGTTTGTGTACAGGAATGCTAGTAATTTTTGCACATTGATTTTATTTCCTGGGACTTTGTTGAAGTTGTTTATTAGCTTAAGAAGCTTTTGGGCTAAAACTGTTGGGTTTTCTAGATATAGGACCATGTTGTCTGCAAACAGGGATAGTTTGACTTACTCTTTTCCCGTTTGGATGCCCTTTATTTCTTTCTCTTTCCTAATTCCTCTGGCTAGGACTTCCAATGCTATTTTGAATAGGAGTGGGGAGACAGGGCATCCTTGTCTTGTGCTGGTTTTCAAGGGGAATGCTTCCAGGTTTTTCCCATTCAGTGTTATGTTGGCTGTGGGTTTTCATAGATGGCTCTTATTATTTTGAAGTATGTTCATTCAATACTTAGTTTATTGAGAGTTTTTAACATGAAGGGATATTAAATTTTATCAAAAGCCTTTTCTGCGTCTTTTGAGATAATCATGTGGTTTTTGTCTTTAGTTCTGATTATTTGGCAAATCACATTTATTGATTTGTGTATGTTGAACCAACCTTGCATCCCAGTGATAAAGCCTACCTGATTGAGGTGGATAAGCTTTTTGATGTGCTGCAGAATTTGGTTTGCCAATATTTTGTTGAGGATTTTTGCACCAATGTTCTTCAAGGATACTGGCCTGAAGGTTTCTTTTTTGTTTTATCTCTGCCAACTTTTGGTATTAGGATGAGGTTGGCCTCATAGAATGAGTTAGGGAGGAGTCCATTCTTTTCAATTGTTTGGAATAATTTCAGTAGGAATGGTACCAGCTCTTCTTTGTTTATCTGGTAGAATTCAGCTGTGATCTGTTCAGTCCAGGACTTTTTTTTTCTGGTTAGTTGGCTATTGCTGATTCAATTTTGGAGCTCATTATTGGTCTGTTCAGGGGTTTAATTTCTTTCTGGCTCAGTTTTTGGAGGATGTATGTGTCCAGGAATTTATCCATTTCTTCTCAATTTTATAGTTTATGTGCATAGAGGCATCCATAATACTCTGATGATTATTTGTGTTTTCTGTGGGGTCAATAGTAATATCCCCTTTGTCACTTGTTACTGGATATAATTTACTAATTGTTTATTGTGCATTTTTACATGTATGTTCTTAAGAAATATTGGTCTGCAATTTTGGTTTCTTATCTTTTTCCTGGTTTTGGTATCAAAGCAATGCTGGCCTCATAACAAGATTAGAAAGTCTTCACTTCTCTTCTATTTCCTGCAAGAGATTGTGATGAATTAGTATTTTTTCTTTCTTAAATATTTGGTAGAAGCCACCGGTGAAGTCAAGTTGGCTTGAAGTTTCCTTCATTTGAAGGATTTTACCTACAAACTCAATTCCACAAATCCTTATATAACAATTTAGACTATGTATTTCTTCTACAGCAAGCTTTGATTGTTTGAGACTTTCAAGGTTATAACATTTCATCGAAGTTGTTGATTTTATGGTATTTAAGTTGTTCATAATATTTATTTCCTTATTATTCTTTCATTGTCTGTAATATCTACAAGGAGATTCTGCTTATCTTCTTGATATTTTGACAATAATTTCTCTTTTTTATCTCTTTCTTTTTTCAGACTCCCTTTCTCTCTCTCTCTCTCTTCAGTCAAGACGGCTGAAGGTTTATAAATTGCATTGATGTTTTCAAATAGCTAGCTTTTTATTTGACTGATTTTCTTGTTGATATTCCCTGTTTTCAGTTTCATTGATATCTTATACATTAATTACTTCCTTCCTTCTATTTGCTTTCTGTTTAACATTATCTTTTCCTACATTATTAGAGTGAAAACCTTATACCATTAATTTAAAATCTCTTTTGTAATTTATATCTTGATTTTAATTATATTAATTATATAATTATATATTTCATGTATAATTAACACAATATATTATGTATTCTATATAATAGCAAATACATTATATGAATACATATATGTATATGTAATTTCATATAAATATATAATAATAGTTATAGCATTTAATTTAATTACCTTTACTTCTAAGTACTATTTTAGCTGCTTCCCCTACATTTTCAAATGTTTTATTTTTCTTAAATCCCAAATATTTATAATTTCCCTTATGACTTCATCTTTAGCCTCTTTTAATTAAGAAATATGTTATTTAATTTCCAAATATTTCAGGATTCTCTAGTATCTTTCTGGTAACGATTGCCAGTTGAATTCCATTTTAGTCAAAGAACACATTTTGTATTATTTCAATTTATATTATTTTCTTTTAAGTTTATTTATTTTCCAGCATATACTTACCCTGATGAATATGTCATATGCACCTGAAAATAATATGTATTCTGATGACTTTCTGTAATCATTAATTAGGCCAATTGGATTTACACTGTTGTTTTGGTCTTTTATAACTTTAATAGTTTTTTGTCTACTTTTTCTATTGATGATTTGTAGAGAAGTGTTGATATCACCAATCATTATTTTGATTTTTTTCTGTTAATTTCTACTTTTACTTCTATCAGCTTTTGCTTTATGAATTTTGATGCTTTTTAGGCAGTACATTTATATTTAATATTACTGTCTCTTCTTGCTGAATACACCCTTTCATCATCTTGTAATGTCCCTCTTTATCTCAAATAATAAGCTTTGTTTTGAAATATTGAAGTATCCACCCCCATCTTCTTTTTCCTGATTAATGTCTGCATAATACATTTTCTTCATACATTATTTTTACTTGTCTAGATTTCTATACTTCAAGTGAAACTTTTGAAGGCAGCATATCATTATGTCTGGCTCCTTCCTAACAATGCCTTTCTTTTAACTGGTTTGTTTAGACTATTTACCTTTAATATTATTACTATTATGGTATATTTTTGTCTATCATCTTTTTAGTAATTTCTGTTTAAGTATTTTTCCATCCTCTTTTTGGGTCTACTTTAAATGAAATTGATTATTTTTTATTTTTCCTTTTTAATCACATTATTATTTATAGGTATTTAAAAATTGTGTAACCCTAAGGTTTACTCTTTTTCTCTCTATATATAGTAATATATGTATATAAAAATATGTATATATTTGATTAATCACAGTCACCTTCAAATTATAAATTGCTTCATGCATAAGCTATAAATCTATAAAAGTATACTCCCAAATTCTTTTTTTATCTGTTCTTATTTTATATTATATTTTACTTTATGTAATACCTTGCTAATATATTTACTATAGACTATCATTTTTCTTCTAGATAAATTAGCAACAAAAATGTCTTCCATACTTTAATTTTCGGGTAATTTTTATTTCTTTGCCTGGATTCATGTTTCTGTCTGACATTATAGTTATTCTACGTAAAAAACTTCCTTTACCTTTTCTTGTAATCTAGGTTTTATTTGTCAATATGTTGTTATTTCACCATTTTTGAAAAATATTTTTGCTATGTTTAGAATTTTAGGTTGACAGATCTGTTTCACTTTTGTTTCTTTCAGCACTTCATGTTTCACTTCATTCTTCTGACTTGCATGAAATGTCTTTTCTAATTCTTATCATTATTCATATTTATTCGATTAATCTTTTTTATTTGTCTAATTCAGTATTAACTTTATATCATAAGCTTTAGCAGTTTTTATACGATATTTCCAGATAATGATGTTGGGATTATTTGCCCTGCGTGGAGCTCTTGAGATTTTTGGACATACAGTTTGATGTTTTTCATTATTCTTCCCTGTTCTCTCTTTTCTCCCCCTTATATTCCAGCTATATATATTTAGAATGTTTGTTATTGTCTGAGATCTCTTTAATGTTGTGTCAGTTTGTTTAAATTATCTTTTTTCCACTTGTGTTTCAGTTCAGATAATTTTCATTGATCTATCTTCAAATTCAACCATGTTTTTCTTGATAGTTTTGATCAACTGGTGAATGAATCCCTTGAAGATATTCTTGCTCTCTGTGATTGTAGTTTTTAAAATTTCTAGTGTTTTCATTTGACACTTTCTTAAAATTTTATCCCCCTACTAAAATTATTTATTTATTTATGTATATTAGCTATTATTTCCACTAGAGTCTTTACCATATTGATTATACTTATTTTTAAATTTCTCTCTAATAATCTAAGCCTCTGGGCCATTTCACAGTTGGCTTCTGTTGTCAGGTATCAAATGAGGCTTTTGTTCTCGCATTTTTAGTATCTCTTAACATTTTATTCATCGCTGTACATGGCCTATAGAAACATAATATATAGAAACTGAGGTATGTATGTCGAGAAATAGGAACCCCCTCTTCATTTGTGGTGGATTGAGTCAACCTATTTAGGAATTGAGTTGGTTTTGGTTTTTATTGTCCTGCAGTGACTTTTAGTGCACCACTGGCTTCATTTTTCTCTGTTATAATCACCTGCTTATAGTAGAGATTACATACTGTAGGAGTCTTCTCCATGTTCCTGCTTCATCCTCAGCAGGAACTCTGACACTTTAGAAAGGGTTTCTGTCTGTGTTCTTGCCCCTCTTTCCTCAGGAAATGCTACCTAACCTAGTGCTGGGGAAGTGGAGGCAGGGGTTCTCTGCTTGCTTGACTCAGTTTGTGTCACAGAAGCAGAATATTTTCTATAACTGTTAAAATCTTTCAGTAATCATTTGCATGACACTGTATGTTGAAAGTTTAACTAGGTATAAATAATTAAATTGAAATATTTTACTGTGAACAAATAATTTGAATGCAATATTTTGTATTTGAATATAATTATCATTATATTTTCACAAAGTAAAATAGTATCATTTTAATGATGCGTTTGCACTAAACCTTGGCATTTGTTGCTGCAAGGAGATATTCCCTGTCATTCAAATTATTATTCACTTTTAGATAATTTGTCTTTTAATCTCGGCTACTTTTAAATTTTCTTTTTCTTTAAAAATTTGAAATCCTATGTCAATAAATCTAAAGTTTTTGTTTTGGATTTAAGTTGTCCATCTCATAACACAGTGAGCTTTTTGAACCTAAAGACTCATTGGCTTTTGTTTTGTTTTGTTTTTTACCTTTTGGAAAATCTCTATTATTTCTTTCAATAGACCTTCTTCCTAAATGTTCATATTATTTTTCTATCACTCTTCAGAGACATACAGTAAATTTTCTCATTCTAGTGTTTAAATAACTGAACTAACATACATTCTGCAAGTTTAGAGAATGTTGTTTTTAGTTAAACATGTGGAGACAATGACCAGTTAATAATATACTGGTCAAAGGAGATTAATCTTAATCTCTTTTTTATATACTGAATCTCTTTTTTATATTTTCTCTCATTTCATCTGAGTTCTGTTTTATTTCCTCAAGTATATTACATATACTCAGTTTCTCTCAGTTTCTATCTATTTTCTTGTTGGATCCATCCATTTAGTTCTTCATTTCAATGAGTATGTTGTATTTCACCTATTCTCAGGTGCATATTTTAATATTTTTTATCTCTGAAATTGTGACATATTTGCTACCTGATGGCATGCTAAAACTATCACCAGGTGTGTGTTATTATTAACTAGTAATTGTCTCCACATATATAACTAAAAACAACATTCTCAAAACTTGCGGGATGTATGTTAGTTCACTTATTTTTAAAAAATCTCATGTAGATATTGAATTAAAAAAAAGAAAATGTATTGTTGGTAGTTAATGCTAAATGTACTGGTCATCCCATCTACCTGCCTGTTATCTGAATCATCTCTCTCAAGTTCAAAGTCCCATCTACCTACCTTTCAGAGTTACATCTAATACCTTCAAGTGGTAATTTGAAAGACCAAACAAATAGTATTTTGCTTGTGTTAAAATGCTCATTTTTCTAATGAATGCTAACAAAAAAATAATGACATAATTTTCCACCAATTATCATTTAGTTAAAACTAATAAAATTAAATATATATTTAAGAGACCACTATGTATATGACAATAGCTGAAAATACAGCTTTTGATTCAAATAGACATGTTTACAAAATTAGATTCTTCCATTAATGCCTGCACAATAAGAAAAAAAGTCACTAGATCACTCTATGGCACCTAATGTTAACTCACTATCAAGTCTCTAGTGTTCCCATCTTCCTTAGTGATGCAAACCTAAATTTGAGTTTAGAGCCAAGATTAAAATCTGTATTACTAGCCTAGATTTTTGTAACATGGACTATGTGGCTAGATTATGCCCTATATGATTTACTGAGGAAAGTTGTGTGGAAATTATAGGAAATTTTCTTGGAAAAATGGGGCAAAATCCTTCTTTCTTCCTCACTTTTCCTGCTGCTTACAGTATGAATGTAATACCTGGAAGTCTACCAGCCATCTTTGACCATGTGGTGATGGGCTGCATAAGGCAGAGCAGAAGGATAGAATTCTGAGTCCCTGATGAAACTTTGTAGCCACAATGGCATTTCTGGTCTTCTTATATTTAAGAAATATATCTGTAAACTTGCATTGATATTATTTTAAAAATGTTTTTCTACGCTGATGAACTAGCTTGCATCTGCTCATCTATAAAGTTTAAATAATTATAGTAATGATATAGTTTGGCTGTGTCCCCTCCCAAATCTCATCTTGAATTATAGTTCCCATAATCCCCACCTATTGTGGGAGGGACCTGGTGGGAGGTAATTGAATCATGAGGGCGGTTTTATCCATGCTATTCTCATGATAGTGAGTGAGTTCTCATTAGATCTGATGGTTTTATAAGGGGTTTTTCCCTCCCCTTTGCTCTGCCCTTCTCCTTGCTGCCACCATGTGAAGAAGGTTGTGTTTGCTTCCCCTTCCACCATGACTGTCAGTTTCCTGAGGTCTCTCTGGCCCTGAGGAAATGTGAGTCGATTAAACCTCTTCCCTTCATAAATTACCCAGTCTTGGTTATTTATTCATAGTAGCATGAGAATGGACTAATAGAGTAAATTGGTACTGCAGAGAGTGGGTGTTGCTATAAAGATGCCTGAAAATGCAGAAGCAACTGTGGAACTGGGTAACAGGCAGAGGTTGGAACAGTTTGAAGGGCTTGGAAGAACGTAGGAAAATGTGGGAAAGTTTGGAACTTTCTAGAGTCTTGGAGGGCTCAGATAGCAGGAAGATATGAGAAGGTTTGGAACTTCTAAAAGACTTGTTGAATAGCTTTGACCAAAATGCTGATAGTGTTATGGACAATGAAGTCCATTCTGAGGTGGTGTCAGATGGAGATGGGGAACTTGTTGGAAACTGGATCGCTCTTGCTATGCAAAGAGACTGGTGGCATTTTGCCCCTGCCCCAGACTTTGAACTTGAGAGAGATGATTAAGGGTATCTGATGGAAGAAATTTCTGTTTTTGTCACCCAGGCTGGAGTGCAGTGGTGCAATCTTGGCTCACTGCAAGCTCCGCCTCCCAGGTTCATGCCATTCTCTTGCCTCAGCCTCCTGAGCAGCTGGGACTACAGTCGCCCACCACCACGCCCAGCCAATTTCTTTTGTATTTTTAATAGAGACAGGGTTTCACTGTGTTAGCCAGGATGTTCTCGATCTCCTGACCTCGTGATCCACCCACCTCAGCTTCCCAAAGTGCTGGGATTACAGGCGTGAGCCACTGCGCCTGGCCAACAGAAGAAATTTCTAAGTAGAAAGGCATTCGAGAGGAAGCAGAGCATAAAAGGTAGGAATCTTTGCAGCCTGGCAATGTGATAGAAAAAAAAAACCAAAAAACTATTTTCTGTGAGAAATTCAAGCTGGCTGCAGAAATTTCCATAAGTAACAAGGAGCTGAATGTTAATCACCAAGACAATGGGGAAAATGTCTCCAGGGCATGTCAGAGAACTTCACAGCAACCCCACAGCACAGGCCCAGTGGCCTAGGAAGAAAAAATGGTTTCCTGGGCCTGATCCAGGGCCCCCCCTACTGTGTGCAGCCTAGGACTTGCTGCCTTTTGTCCCAGCTGCTCTAGTCATGGTTAAAAGGGCCCAACATATAGTTCAGGCCATTACTTCAGAGGGTGCAAGCCCCAAGCCTTGGCAGCTTCCACATGGTGTTGAGTTTGTAGGTGTACAGAAGTCAAGAATTGAGGTTTGGAACCTCTGCCTAGATTTCAGAGGATGTATGGAAGTGCCTGGGTGTCCAGGCAGGAGTTTGCTGCAGGGGAAGGGTCCTCATTGAGAACCTCTGCTAGGGCAGTGCAGAAGGAAAATGTGTGGTTTGAGGCCATACACAGAGTCCCCACTGGGGTGCTTCCTGGGGGAGCTGTGAGAAGAGTGCTACGGTTCTCCAGACCCCAGTATGGTAGATCCATTGACAGCTTGCATCATGCACCTGGAAAAGACACAGGCACTCAATGCCAGCCCAAGAACGCAGCCAGGAGGGAGGTTGTACCCTGCAAAGCCACAGAGCTGGAGCTATCCAAGACTATGGTGACCTGGATGTGAGACATAGAGTCCAAGGAGATCATTTTGGAGCTTTAAGGTTTGATGACTGCCCTATTGGATCTTATACTTGCAAGGGGCCTGTAGCCCCTTTGTTTTGGCCAATTTCTTCCATTTAGAAGAGCTGTATTTATGCAATGCCTATATCCCCATTGTATCTAGGAATTAACTAACTTGCTTTTGATTTACAGGCTCATAGATGGAAGGGACTTACGTTGTCTCAGATGAAACTTTGGACTTGGAATTTTGGGTTAATGCTGGAATGAGTTAAGACTTTGGGGGACTGTTCAAAGGGCATGGTTGTGTTTTGAAATATGAGGAAATGAGATTTGGGTGGGGCCGGGGTGGAATAATATTGTTTGGCTTTGTCCTCACTCAAATCTCATCTTGAATTGTAGTTCCCATAATCTCCACCTATTGTGGGAGAGATCTGGTGGGAGGTAATTGAATCATGGGGTGGTTACCTCCATGCTGTTCTCATCATGATAGTGAGTGAGTTCTCACAAGATCTGATGGTTTTATAAGGGGCTTCCCCCCCCACCCCACTTCACTCTGCCCTTCTCCTTGCTGTCACCATGTGAAGAAGGATGTGTTTGCTTCTCCTTCCACCATGATTGTGAGTTTCCTGAGGCCTCCTCAGCCCTGCAGAACTGTGAGTCAGTTAAACCTCTTTCCATGATAAATTACCCAGCCTCAGATATTTCTTCAAGCAGTGTGAGAACAGACTAATATAGTGACTATTTCTTTAGGTTTTTTGTTATAAAGAATAAATTAGGAATGTATGAAATTTTGTAGCCCAGTGCCTGGCACACAGAAATTGTTTTAAAAATGTTGGCCAATTTTGTGCATTATAAAAAAGTTGTTAATGTGATTTCTTCCTTTGAAAATGTCACGTATCATAAAGCCCATTTTTCCCCTTTCTATCTTCCACAACATGACATGTAGTCAATAACAATGCGATTTGCAAATAATCTGAATATATAAAATTATGTAAAAATATGTCAAAATTCAAACAAGCTAAAGAATATGTAGGAATTCCTTTGAAGCCTGTGATTAACTATATTCATTTTTAAAAGAAAATTATTTCTTTTATATGATGCATATGTTATCGATAGTTATAATACAAATCAATCATTCTATGTATAAATACAGCCCACCTAAATATTTACGTAGGTAAGAAAAGAAATTTACCTATTCTTGTAAAAGAGTATTCCTACAAAACAAAATTTGATTTTTGAAGTGTGTATATTAAGATTTAGGTAAATATATCTCTCTACATATTTTAATTTTAGAGTAAAGTATGGTCCTTTAATGCCTTCTTATAAAACTATTACATTTTCATTATGTTGTAACCACGAATTTTCTACAAAACATCCCTAGAAGATCAAACCTCTCTTTAGATTGAGTGAAAGATGTACAAAAGTGGGGGATTTTCCTTTGGCCTACTTGAAGGTAATAATTAAAGTTTTGTGTCTCTGCCCATTGTTCTGGGGTTACATGGATTCAAGCTTATTGACAACCCAACCCTGGTATTACATTTTCTATGAGATCATATATTCTATCTCGCCAACAGGAGATAATCCGAATGTCAAATGTGAGTTGCATTTTTGTGTTTGACTAACTTCCATGTGTATTGGAAGGCAGGATAAGGATAGTGGAGCATTTAGACAGCTTTACTTCTAATACATGTAACAGGTAAAGTTGCCTCCTGAATCACTATGAATGTCAATGGGTGCCAAATCATAGAAGTTTCTGCAGCAAGCATCTGAATAGTCCCAATTTTGTCATATGTAGAATGTGCATGCTTTGTTCTGACGGTTGTTTTCTTACAGACCTTGCATATGTAAGGTGCAATTCTGCAATTCCTCTTAGAAGCACTATTCTTTATTTTATTGAAAAGCAGAACAAGGAGTGGCATAAAACCTATATAATTCACAGGCTTGTAAGTTAAGGCCTCAGGCAAACCATTCTTTCTTTTGTCTTGTCCCCCATACTTGCAGGACAATCTCAATGTTAACTTGTTCTACACTGAGAGGACGTATTATACGCTGACCTCCCCAAATAATAACTATCAAACATGCTTTATATCTTCTTTACCTTATGATTGATTCTTAACCTAGTTTTTCTTTATTGTATTATTAAGTGAATATTATATAAATATTAAGATGGGTGATTTCGTCCATAAAAGATACATCTTTTTAAAACCAAAGTAAGACTGAAAATAATGTTTTACTGACTTGGAAAGTGAAAGTGAAAGTGTTAATGATCCTGTACTGGAATGGCACTTACCTTAATACTGATGTAGAGGCAGATACCATATTTATCTTAAACTACCCCAGAGCAAAGAACCTGTGAAGAAGACAGTTACCTTCGGAACCATATTTATCACGTAAATAGCTCAGAAAAGGATACTGCCAGTTACATCTTTAAAGTACAAAAATGCATGCATTTCACTATTTTGTAAATGCCAGAGAGATGCAGCATCCGTTAGAGTTAACGGTGCGGCACTTTTGTGTTCAGTAGCATGAATCATTAATCATGAGACAGGCCATATTCTTGTACTGCTTCTGCTTTCATTACTTGGCCTAATTAAACAGTTCTCTGAACTGGAATCTCAGATTCCTCTGTTACAGATTATCATTAATTATGGTGAAAGTGCTCAGAGATGTTGGACTCAATTATATTCTACTCAACTCTGGCACCGTGTGATTCATTGCGCAGCCTGCTCTGCAGATGTACTCTTTTCTTATCTCGCACTCCCACTTTTGTAAATTGGGCTCTGGCAGCCAACAAACTAAGAGTTATGTGCTGCGTTTTCATTAAAAACATGTTGGAGAAGCACAGACCAATTAAGGATTCTGTATTTTATAAGGAGTGATGAGACGAACAGTGGATTCTGGGAGAATTAGCTCTGTGAAGGAGCAATCTCAATCTTATTGTATTGCTAAATTTGGTGCCTGGGTTTTTGAGGGGTTTTTTGTTTTGTTTTGTTTTTCAATTGGCTAAGTCTCTGGCTTGCAACTTTTTAAAAAAATTAAAATAAATTAATTTATTGCAAACTCAATAGAAAGAAACTCAAAATTGTGTTTGGTGCTTGTGTGAGCTACTGGAAAACATTTCCAGTGACATATGCCAAACATATTATAGCTCAAAAGACACTAATTTCACCAACTTTGACAGTCATTTTTATGCTATGTAATACAATCTCTTCTATAGCACTAAGTTTAGGCAGACTGGACTAATATTTTGGCATAGACAAAGCCAGAATATCAGGATTTGCAGGCTTTGGGTAGTGTTTGGGATATGTGTTTGGGGGAAGGGGAGTGTATGATTTGACATATGGCACATGCGAATCAAATTATCCCAAAGTACTTCTATTGCATTTAAAATTTGTTTATTTGTTTAAGGAATCTATTTTTTTTTCTTTTTTTATTCTCCTTCCCTCCCTTGTTCTGTCTCTCCCTACCTCTCTCCTTCCCTCCTCCCTTCTTTCCTTCTTTTTTGTCTTTCTCTTTCAGGGGAGTCAAAAGATTTTTCTTTTGTTTCAAATAATACAGAAACTGTATTTTAGTAATTAAAATGTAACAAAGCTTATAACAAACTAATGTCTTCAGTTTCCCCATTGGCTACAAAACCATACCAAAAAACCTAAATGTTTAAAATCAATAGTATTTTAGCATTTCATGAAAAGAAACTATGTTTATCTAATTTAAATGTGAAAAAACACAAAAATGAAATTTTATTTGCAGATTATCTTTAAGAAGTTGCATGGCCTTTGATACTTTATGGATCATAATTCAGAGATTTTACAGAAACTAAACTGCAGTGATAAACATGCAAATACATTTGGGAAGCGTTTAAGTAGGCTATTCAGTTTTCTCTTCCTTTTTTATCATAAATTCTAAATTATAATAGAAATACTTGGCATTTAAGACAGCTGGTCTTAAAGTGAAATCAATTGTCATTCAATTTACTTCTGTTGTCATTAAAAAAATAAATTCTCAGGGTTTTACCTGAAAACATTTATTTAATAAAAAGTAAGCATTAAAATAATTTTATAATATGAGAAGTTTGTGTTATTATTGATAAGATGATATAATTATATCATTCAATGACAATTTTTTTAAAATCTCAGGGCAGAACACAATTTCACAATTTCATCTATAGTGACAGAAGAAAGCTCTAAGAGCTGTACTTATGACCGATCATTTATTTAAATGAAGCAAATAGATTAAAGCCAGTATTTTCTAACTGAAAAATTTGTTATTCTTATAATATGTGATAAAAATACTATTTATTCAAACAAAATATGAGGCTAGGGGTTTCCTTTTTTTTAATTTCCTCTTTCCACTTTAAAGATATGGTACCAAATGGCAAAACTGCTATGCTTGTCTCCCTTTGTTTCTCATGTGAGAAGTTAACAAAATAGCACACAAGTAACTCTTATCACAAAGCTCTTCTCAGAGGTGAAATATGAACAGCATTGTCTTGGTTCAAGTCAACTCAACTAGTCATATGTGTCATCATTATTGCTTGCTCTCTATTTTCACAAGCATAACTTCTGTTTGTTTTATATTAAAAATTGTCTTGACCCTCATCTGAAACTCACTTTCCTGCATCATGAGATATGTACTGGATATATTCACCCACAAGATCAGGCCCAAAAATTAGGGAAGTGTACATCTCTTCTCTTATTTTTATGTTATCTAAAAGTTTCTGTTTTGATTTTTCCTAAATGAAGTTTAATTTTTGTATATTTTCATTGACTATGTGTCCATTTTTCCTAAATGCAGGTCAGGAAGAGAACAAAAATAAAACAATGTGGAGGAAAAAAGTTCTAGATGTAAGCCTTTGGGCTTAACAATTTGTAGGTTTTCATATCGTGCAGTAGTTTCAGGTTTTAATATATATGAAAATCAGTGGTCTTGTATCTATGCATATGTGTCGTCTATAATATAATTTTGACAGATGGTGAGCTGGATAAATCTAGTCCCTGACTATAGAAAACCTTGGCTTGACTTGCACTCTACCAAAACTTGTTTTAAAAAGCATTCACATGTATTTATTTTTTAAATAAAGATTCATTTTTTGGCCTGCCCTTATTTCTCATTGAGATGCCGGCATCCTCATTTTTGACAGTCCCATGTATGCATTTTACCTGAATTGTGATTTTTTTACAGGATTATTCCATGCATAATGCTGATGACTATACTATTTTACATCTCCTCCTTATTAAAAATAAATATGTTACCTTGCCCCTGTTTGCACCCACTAAAATTCTGACAAAAATATCTTACTTAAAAAACAAATACAAACCTAGAAACCAGGAAGCAGTTTCTCCCACTAGCAGCTCCAGACAGACTGCTCATTGAAAATGTAATACACTGCTGCTGTGTCACAGGTCAGCTGGCAAATGGCAATCTGAATTTTAAAAGGAATATGAATAAAATTCTGTTTTATTTTGAAAATGAACTTTCTGCCCTCCATCATGAATCCAATATATGTCTTAATCTTCTATGCTCTTGAAGCCTGCGGCTCCTGGCTGAGTCCTTTGACTCCTGAACCTAATAAGGAAATAGGTTGTTTTCTCATCCTCGTCTCATTTTTAGAAGGGCTGAAACAAACAGTCCCCTATTTCAAATGTAATTGACAAAGCATAAAAACATGTATGTTATATAATTTTAGGTTTACAACCAAGCTCAACACTGGGATGTTTTATTTTTAAATTTGATTAAGATGTTATACCTTTGGAAATGTGCTGTCAAGGTTTGAAATCAAAATTTCCAAGTATACAATGCATGTTTACCTTAGAACTGTACATGTGAAGCTGATAAAGGATAGAATGGATAATGGTACACTTCAATTGGGAACATTTTCATTTAACCTGGACATTATTTAGAGCCATACGGAGAGACGTATAGACAGAATTTAAAAATGTATATTTGTGGCTATTGTTTGCTGTTTAAAAATCAGCTGGGTGTGTGCCATGTCTGTAACTATGTTTGCTTTTTTCTCCTAAATAGAAGTTAGTTCATTATGCTACATTTATAAACTTATTATTTACACATTCATTTAAATTAATGATTTCTAATTAGAAAGTGCTTTTCTTTCCAGAAAAATAAGATTTTGATTTTTGAGTGTTTGTCCTTTTTTATTAGAAAATTCTAGGAATAATATATTGCCATGGCATAATTACTATTGTTCTTTTTTAATAAAATAATTATAGAAACTATTCTTTAAGAAGAGAAATGGTAGAATTTAAAGCACTTAAATAAATACAATTAGGCGTCCTATGCTGCTAGGATATCTTATATTTGTGTAGCATCATCACAACCTAACTGAACATTCTAAGGACATAAAGGCTGACATTTCAATGTGTATGTGCATCTTGTGTGTGAAACTGAGAGAGAGGTGCACATGAAAAGTTAAGCAATTAGTTATTTTAAGACTTGGATTTTGTTTTAACCTAAAAGTAGTCAATTATTGTTTTTCAGAAGAGAGTTATATTTTAAATGTCTTTTGTTATTGTATGGCCATTCTAAGCTTAGAGCAATTAGCATATTTACAATGACACTTTAATTACTAAATGTTAGAATAATGGAAAATTTTTAAAAACTTTAATTTCAGTAGCTATATCTAGTCCCTGTTCCCTTTCCTGATGTTCCAATAATGCATAGGCTCATAGAAAGCATGAACTAATATATACTTGATAGAGTCATTCATGAATCAACAAATAATTATTGAATATCTAAATACTGAATTAATAACTAAGTATACAAAGATAAATAGAACATGGTGTAGCAACAATAAGATGGTCTTTTAGTTAGAGTAATCAGACAAATAATATAAGAGTTCCATCTGTGAGACAAGTGAAATGATAATGGTACCAAAAGGTGAGTTAAAAGCACAGAGGAAGACAGATAACCTGGTGTGGGGAAGAGGATCCCAGGGAAAACACTGTGGGAAAAGTCATGCTTAAGAATATTCTTAAGAGATTACGTGAACTATGTTAGATGAAGGGAAGCTTTAGATTATCTTCCTATGGAGTAAATTAATTTTATGCAGGCATGAAAATTTTTAATGTGTAAGTAAAAGAAGGGATAAATGTATGTTGAATAACTGACAATATGAAACATAGAGTCCATATTGTGGATAACTTCTTATTAATAATATTTGTTTACTGCTTCCTCATCAGATAGCAGCCATGTAGTTGGGAAGATAATGGTTTCAGATCCAGGAACATGTGTTGCTTAGGGTAAGCCAATTAGAAGAGTTGTATTTCCCTAGAGAATTAACGTTCCAGGAACTTAGGTTTATATAAATCATCTTATAATGATACATAGACATCTTATCTTGTTTCAGATATGGGCATATGACTTTGGTTGGCACAATTATATTATAGGATGGTGATTTTCTTTCATATCTGTAGGAATGATAAACTCTGTCTCGTATCAGATATGAAGGCAGCAGTGATGCTATAGCTATAGATATGTCCACATTCCAGGCAGGAAGAAGGAGCAGGACAAAGAGCAGAACGATACACATGCCAGCTGGGTCATCCTCCAATAAAGAACCTTCCCAGAAACCATACCCAGTGAGTTGTTTATATCTTAGTGTCCAAAACTGTGTCAAATGTCTACTTTTAGCTGCAAAGGAAGCAGAGAATATATTTTCACCTGGCACCTGGCTCCCCCAAATAAAGTGTAGCTTCATTAGTAAATAAAAAGGTGAGAATTGATATTAAGTAGCCTACTAACAGTTTCTAACATATAGTCCTTGACCTCAAAGTGTTCATCGTCTATTCTGGAAACATACATATAAAAATACTTACAATATATTTTAAATTCTACTTCTACCAACAAGGTATCGCCAAGGAGAGAGCAATATTTGCATGATAAACGTTTACCTGTAAGAAAGCAATAGATTACATTTCCCTATGTAGAAATTCAAGGCAGTTTCTAGCTTCAAGGCACAACAACTCCAATACTGTAGAAAAGAAAATGAAAGAAAGAAATTAATACATTTTGAAAACCAATAATGGGCATTATCTGTGGACTGATTCCCTGATGCATTGTTTGAGAGAAAATAGCAAAAATAAAACCAAAGTAGAAAGCCAAGGCAGATTGGAGGCCTTTCTCAGAGCACCATTGGCTACTTCACTAGGAAGATGGAGAAATGTGGTGCCTGACAGCCTCAGTGGCTGAACTCTCTTGGGGCTATAATGCACACAGTATTAGCAAGTGTCCATAGCCAACCCATGGGGGAAAAAAACCTCACAAAAACAAACAAACCACCGCGGTCTCAGCTACTAAGAGAAGGCAACCAGCCTCCCACAGCTACAGAGGGCCCCAATACACCATCTTCTGCAGAGTTTGTGCAGCCCACATGAAGCACAGAATTCTCATGTGGTAGATAATAAGTACCTATCACCAAATATCTAATGTTGAATACTGCTTGATAGTAAGTGAAAGTAGCAGCCAAGGAAACACAAATAATAGAGCCAACTGAAAAAGATCATTTAATAGTGAAATGACACATACATAAAATAAAAAGCAATTATTTAAAAACATTCAAAATTTTGGAAATAAAATATACCTATTCAAATAACAAATTTAACTTAATATAATGTCCAAATAACAGAATGGATATTGATAAGGAGCTAAGAAAATCTTCCTGTACAAAATTAAAAAAAGTGAAGAGGTATAAAATATGAAATACAAATGAACAGTCATGGAGGATATATTAAGACTTTCCAATATGCATCTAAAAGTAGATCCAAAATCATTGAGTTAAAAGAACAAAAGGGAAAAGAAAATAAAGAAGAGTGCCTGAGACTTTCTCCAAAACTTAGTAGAACTGTTATTTTAAAATACTTCACTAAGAATCGAACACATCATTTTTTCACACTTATCATTTATATTCAACAAAATGAGAATAAGGCTTGCTTCAAATTTCTAGGAAAAGAGAAAGTTACTTTAAATCAGGAATGGTTTTCTATCTTTATCACCATGCAAGGACCAGGGTTCTCTAGTCATGCAAGAACTCGGAAAGTTCACCTGTTAAACACATTAATAGAGAATGTACTTCAGCAAAAAAAGAAAAGTGGATTCAGAATAAAATGGGTGTTTCAAGAAGCAGTAAAGAGCACACATATCAGTTAGAAGAGATCTGGTATGTTCAGGTGGTATGGCTGTAGACAACACACATATCAATTAAACATGTTAGATATAAATAAATATTGATACTATTAAATAATTACCTTAACAGCAATTTGAAATATTATTCCAGATTATAGCAACATGGATACTGATCAGAGAGTGAGTAGGAGTAAAATCCAAGCAAAATACAAATGTATAAATATCTTTGCCTTCAGCAGAGTGTGTGCAGGGGTGGAGAATATTTTCACAAGCAAAGATTTCTTAGAACACCAAAACCATAGGCATCATGGAAATATGATAAATTCACTTTATTGACATTAAATATAGCTGTTCTTTAAAAGACAGTGTTGTGAAAATAAAAGGCAGTTAATAGAAACTACCTGCAAACGTAGTGTCAAAGAACTATCTAGAATATGTAAAAAATGCTTACAAGTCAACAATAAGAATAAAAAAGCAGTTGAAGATGAGTCAAATGTTTTAATGAGCACCTCACAAAAGAAGACTTTAGACTTACTGAAAACCAAATGCAAAGGATCTCACTACCCATATTCATCAAAAAACAAGATACAAATTGAAGGAACAAGCAATTGAAAGAACAATGAGATACTGCTATTCATGCCCTGTTGAAGGGTTAAAATTTAGTAGCTTGACAATAGCAAATAATAGCAGAGATGTGAAACTCTGGTACACTACTGGTTCTAATGCAAAATTGTACAATCTGGAAATTACTTGGCTAAAATTAGAATTAAAAAATACATATATTTTTGTAGCTAATGTAAAAGGTGTTGTTATTGATTTGATTCTCAGCTTGGTTGCTGTTGGTGTACAGCAGAGCTACTGATTTGTGTACAGTAAATTTTGTATCCTGAAACTTTGCTGAATTCATTTATCAATTCTAGGAGCTTTTTGGAGGAGTCTTTAGGGTTTTCTAGGTAAACGATCATATCATCAGCAAACAGTGACAGTTTAACTTCCTCTTTAACAATTTGGATTCCCTTTATTTCTTCCCCTTGTCTGATTGCTCTGGCTAGGACTTCCAGTACTATATTGAGTAGAAGTGGTAAGAGTGGGCATCCTTTTCTTGTTCCAGTTCTTAGAGGAAATTCTTTCAACATTTCCCCATTCAGTATTATGTCGGCTGTGGGTTTGTCATAGATGGCTTTTATTACATTGAGGTATGTCCCTTGTACGCCGAATTTGCTGAGGGTTTTAATAATAAAGAAATGCTGGATTTTGTCAAATGCTTTTTCTGCACCTATTGAGATGATCACGTGATTTTCATTTTTAATTATTTTTATGTTCTGTATCACATTTATTGACTTGCGTATGTGAAACCATCCCTGCATCCCTGGTATGAAACCCACTTGATTATGGTGGATTATCCTATTGATATACTGTTGGTTAGCTAGTATTTTGTTAAGGATTTTTGCATCTATGTTCATCAGGGATATTGGTATTTAGTTTTCTTTTTTGTTTTGTCCTTTTTTTCTAAGATAGGGAGTAAGACAAAAATGGCCACTCATACCAGTCTCATTCAATATCATGCTGGAAAATTAAGTCAGTTCAATATAACAAGAAAAAGAAATAAAATATACACAGAGTGGAAAGGAATAAATGAAAATCCCCACTTACAGGAGATATGATTGCACAGAAAATATCAAGGAATCTATAAAAAATTATATAACTAATGAAAGAGTTGGACAAGGCCATCAGATACAAGGCCAATAAGCAAAAACACAGTTGTTTTTCTACATAGTACTAATAATTAATTGGACATATTTTTTAAATAATATTTACATTCACTCAAAAATCATGAAATGCATAGCTAGAAATCTAATAAAACTTGTGCAGAATCTATATACTGAAAACCACAAAATGCTCATAAAAGAAATCAAAGAAGATCTAAATAAATGGAGAGACATACAGTGTTAATGAATTGGAAAACTCAACAAGTAAAAATGTCAATTATCTATTTATTCACAGGAAGATATAATACAATTTCTATCAAAATTCCAGCAAAATATTTTTTAGATATAAACAGGTTTACTTTAATGCTTACATGGCAAGGTAAAGGAACTAGAATAGCAAAAAATTTTTGAAAAAGGATAAAGATGAAGGGGTTATTATTCATTCTGATTTCAAATTTCTTATTATAGAGCTATAGTAATCATACTGTGTGGTATTGGTAGAGAGAGAGTCGTATAAATCAGTTGAACAGAAGAGAGAGCCCAGATAATAACCCCATACAAATACAGACAACTATTATTGACAAATGTGCAAAGGGGTTCAATGCAACAAAGATGTCTTTTCAACAAATAGTGTTAGAACAATTTGATATCCATAGACAAAAAAGACAAAAAAAAAAAAAAAAAAAAACTCGAGCTGAATCTCATGCTTTATCTAAAAAAAAAAAAAAAACAACTAACTCAGAATGGATTGTTAATTTAACAGTAAAACATAAAGCTGAAAAACTTTTAAAAGATGCCATAGGAAATATCTTTAAGACCTAGGATTTGCTAAAGAATTCTTGAATACTTTTGAGATCTTGGGCTTCCAAAATAATGATCTACAAAAGAAAAAAAAATCAAGAAATTGGTCTTCATTAAGATTGAAATATTTTTCTCTGTGAAAGACATGCTCTGTTAAGATGGTGAAAATACAAGCAACAATGGGAAAAATATTTGGAAACCACCTGTAAGACCAAGAAATCATATCCAGAATATGCAATAAAGTATCGAAACTCAACACAAAGAGAATAAACAACTAACTTTCAAAAATAGACAAATGACAGTTACTTCATCAAAGAATACGTAGATGACAAGTAATCACATGAAAAGTTTTATATTATTTACCATTTGTAAAATGCAAACTGAAACCATGATGGGGTAGCACTATACACTAGTAAAATGGCTAAAACTTTTGTAAATACTAAAACAAAATTAGTGACAATAAAGAACAGAAATTGTGATTCATTGCTGGTGGAAATACCAAATGGACAGTTAGAAAAATAGTGTAGCAAGTTCTTGTAAAGTTAAATCTACACTTACCTTGTGACTCAGTAGTCCCACTACAAAGTATTTACCCAAAAGTAAGGAAAACTATGTTCTCACCAAAATCTGTACGTGAGTATTTATAGCAGCACTATTCATAATCTTCCAAATTGTAAATGACCTAAATGTCTTTTAGGAAGTGATTGGATAAACAAACTGTGTTGCATCCATAAAATAGAATAGTAATAAAAAGGGTTGAGTTAGCCAGATAATCAAAGTTATCATCAATAGTATTAGTCATGATAGTATGTATTCTTGATGTGGTGTGATAGAAATGACAAAGGTAGACTTCTGTGATCTTCCTCCCCAAAACTCATAACCTCAGTGTAATCATGAGAAAAACATCAGACAAATCCTAATCTAGGGACATTCTACAAAATGCCTCGTCAGTACTCCTCAAAACTGTTAAAATCTTCAAAAATAAGGACAATCTGAGAAAAATGCCACAGCCAAGAGGAACCTAAGAAGACAATGCAAGTAAACATAATGTAGTATCATTAATGACACCTTGAAACAGAAAAACAGCATTAGATTAAAATGAAGGAAACATGAATGATGTATGGACTTTAAATATTGGTTCCTTAACAGTGAAAATATACCATACTACTACAAGATATTAATAACAGGTGAAACAGTGTGAGGGCTACGGGAACTCTGTATACTATCTTCATATTCTTCTGTAAATCTGCAACTGTCTGAAAATGAGTTCATTAAAATATTTTTAATTGCATGAAAAGAAACTTTATAATTAAAGCCATATATGAAAGAAAGTTTTAAAAAATATGAAGCAAACCATTGATATATACAACAACTTGGATGAATCTCAGAGACATTACTCTGAGTGAGAGAAACTAGTCTCAAAAAGTTACTTACTGTATGGCTCCACTTAGGTTCTCAAAAAGACTACAGTGATGGCGAATGTATTAGTTATTGTCAGGGGTGAGATGCCTGAAGGAATTTGATTGTGAAGTGATAGCAACAGGAAATTTTATGAGGTGAGAAAACTATTTCATCTCTTTGATGTGGTAATGGTTACTCAAATCTATACATGTGGTAAATTCAAATAATTTACATCAAAAAAATTTTTATGTTGATTAGAGATAAGTAAATTAAAAAAATAAAGAAGCAAGTTATAGAAATGTACATATGGGATGGTTCTTTGGGGATGAGGAAGGGAAAGAAAAAAGTACATAGCGCTCTGTGGGCTTCTATGTGCATGGCAATCATTGGAAGAGTAAAGAACCCACTAAACGTAGTTATTTGGGCCAAGCTGGAGAAAGACTTTTCATTATTTTCCTTTAAATATTTTTGAGTTGGCTATTTATTTTAAAAGTAAATGTAAAGAAAAAAATTTTAAAAAGTCTACCCAAAGATTTTTACAGGAATAGTCATAGCTTTTTTCTTTATAATAGCCAAAACCTAAAAGCAAACCAAATGTACACGTAAAGAGGAGTGAATAGACAAATTGTGACTTTGCCATGTAAGATACTACGTGGCTTAAAAAGTAAAACAGATGAATCTCAAAAGCATTGTGCTACTCAAATGGACTCAGTCACCAAAGAGTACATATTACATAGTTCTATATATATCAAATTGTAAAGGAGGCAAACACCTAGTGTAAAAAAAAATTATAGATTATCTGGAATGAAGGGGGTTGTAGTGTCTGGGGGAGGAGATGACTAAGTAGGGGATTGAGGGAACTCTTTGGGGTGATGAAGATGTTCTATGCCTTAATTGTGTTAGTGGTTAAATAAGTGAATATATTTGTCAAAATTTACCACTTAAATGAATGCATTTTATTGTACGTAAATTATACCTCTAGGTTGATTTTTTAAAAGGACATACCTTATTTAACATTGTATTTTTTTAAAAAATTGGGCTATTAGAGGGGGAATGGGAAAATGGCTTGGAGAAACTGATGTCATTTTGTTTCCTTTTAGTTTCATGCACCCTACCAATAAGCTTCTTTCAATTTTTAAAAGCCTGGTTGACAAACTGAATCTTGAATGTAAATAATATATATTAGCTTCAGAAATTGTACATAATTTTAAATTTAAAGCCATGATGTAATTATTATCTCTTGTTTTTCAGCATGAGAAAAGTTAACATTTTTCAGAGTACAGTTGAGGTATCTGTGAGCAACTAGAATGGGAATCATTATTCATTTGACAAAGAACAAAACCGAGTAAAGTCCAAGCACTGTGACGGAGGATTAGGGTCTCTAGAGAGCACAGTCCATGACAATTTTTGGTGGCAAGGAAAGGCATCACCATTTCTAGTATTTTCTTTTTTTGTTCCATGTTTTCCCTTTTCTTATGAATTGTATGAGAGAACTCATATATCCTTCGTAATCCTTTTAAATTTTTCTAAATTGATTGGTATGGAATGACATATGATTGTGGTTTAATTTATATGTTCTTGATTAATAGTGAAATTAAATGTCTTATTTTGTATTAACTGACCATTTGCGTTTCAACTTATGTGACTTCCTATTCACATCTTTGTCACTTATTTTACTTGGCTGGTTTTTTTTCTCTTATTCTATGTATATGAGTTTCATAATATTAATCCTTTGAAAGTTCCAAGTGATGCACATATCTCTTCTTGTGGCTTGTATATTTCTTTCTTTTTCTTCTTTCTTAATGTTTGTTTTTTGTAATTTAAATCTTAGGTGACTAGTTTGCATAGAATTTACTTTTAAGAATGTTTTAAGGGTGAAAATATTCTTCTTTCCATTTGGGTGGGGGAGTTAAACAATTCTTCTGTCAAATTTATTGAATAATTCACCTGTCCCAATGATTTTAAATGTCTTCATTTGCATACATCAAATTTCTACATGTGTATGGGTCTGAATCATTGGTTTCTTCATCCTTTTATCAATGGTGAATTACCAGAATTTCATTAGCATTATATTTAGTCTTCTAAATTGTAGAACAGTCTCCCAATCTTGTTCCTCTTTTTCAAATTCACTATGCCTATTCTTGAATATATAGTATGATCAGCTTGAGAACATTTGTAAAATAAACTTTTGTGATTTTATTTGAAATTGCAATTAACAGTGGAAGAATCTTCATCATGATATTGACTTTTCCCATTCATAAACATGGCATATCTTTAAACTTACTTGCATCTTATCTTCTGTGTCTAAATTTTATAATATCTACTGATGTTAGAATTAATCTTGAATATCTTATAGGCTTTGTTACTTTTCTAAGATGGTCTTTTTATTACATTATAAAGTTTTTAATATTTTACTGACATAAAAATATAGTTTCAATTTAAAATAACTTATTATATCTACTAATATTTCTATAGATGTGTCTGGATTTTTAGGTAGACAATTTCTTTTCTGAAAACATTCCCTTCTGTTTCTTAATTTCTAAATTTTAAAACTTATTTCATAGTTTAGAATATCTAATGCAATACTGAATAGAAGTATGATACAAGACATCCTTGTCTTGTATACGGATTTAAAGGAAACTATTACATTTGCTTTGAAAAACAATGTTTGTGTAAGTTTCTGGTAAATAACATTTATGAAGAAAAATTTTTCTATTTCTAGTGTTCTAAAATGTAAATGTGATTTAATGGTTTATTCTTTATTGAAATTATCTAATTATTTTCACTACTACTTTAATATTTAATGTGTTGGTTAAAATAGAGTTTTAAATATTAAATCAACTTTGAACATTATAATTTGGTATTTTTTAAAAGATGATTTTACTATGTTCATATATAAAATTAGTTTTAGTGATCTTTCCTCATATACTTCTTGCATTGTCTGCTATAAAAAGTTATACTATCCTTATAAAATGATTTGGTAAGCATTGAATTTTTTTACTCTAGAAGAATTTATATAATATTGGGCTTTATGTTGCTTAAATGCAAGACATAATATATTTATAAAACATGTATGGGAATGCTATTTTTTGAGTGAGGGACTAGGCATAGATTTTTCAGATATAGATATACAGAGGTATTATTTTTTCATGAGTAGGGTGGGTAAGTTACAATTTTTAGAAACTATCTAGATTTTACATTTTTTATACACATTTGTAGGATTTTAGCTATTTTTTAAAACTGGCAACATTGCACATATTTGACGTGTAGCATTTTCATTATCGTATAATTCTAAATGTTTCCTAGGTTTCATTACAATTTCTCATGTAATCCACTGTTTACTTATAGTAGGTTATTAAATAAAATTTAGGCTCTATTTTTACTTTACCTTAGTTCTTTTCAGCTTAGAGAAGCTATTGTATACAACTACTCCCACATGCCTTTTTTTGTGAAAATATTTATTTTGTGTCCTAGAACCTGATGAGGTTTCACAAGTCTACCACTGTGGGCTAGAAAAATTCAAATTCTCTGCATTATAAATAGAGGTATTATATATGTTTGTTTGAACTTAATATTTGTTCACCATGTTGTTCAAATCTATATTTTTACTGATTTTTCTACTTATCAATAACTAAAATAGGTATACTAAAATCTACAAAAGTGGATTTATCAATTTCTCCTGATAATTATGCTAATTAATGCTCTGTATGAATTTGAAACTATGTTAAATAAAACAAAACTTTGGAATTGTTATATTTATTTTATGGTATTTTCTTCTTACTAATGATTATGTATATTTATTTTTAAACTATTAGAACTATAACAGCTTTATTTATGTTAACTAGGATTATTAAAAAATTCTTTTAAATACCAAGTTCAGTCAAATCAGGTTTGTTACATTTATTGATTTTTATTATTTATATCATATTATTTGAATATTTACTTTTAATTGCTTTCTTTTCCCACCGTTTTCCTTTTATAATCTTCAACTTGTCAAATTTTATCTATTCCACATTTTACCTCTATTACTAAGAAAATTAAGCATTAAACTCTTAACTTATATACTTAATAAAGTCTAATGTTACCAATTGTTTCTCTCATTCTCACAAAAATATCTACAATTTTTAAATCCCAAAACTGTTACATTTTATATTTGTTTTTTATTAATCAGTATAATAGTCATTATTGTTACAACAATTATTATTTTGTACTATCAGAATTCTTTAGTTTTACCCACCTGCTTATATATGTATATATATATTATATATATATTATATATATATATATTATATATATCATATTATATATAATTTGTTCATCTTTGCTTTATAGATCTCATTCCTTTTTCCTTCTTTTAATTTCTTTCTTTCTGATTTATATCATATAGTCATTCTTTTGTGACTGGCATGTAAGTATTATTCTGTTCCTATCTCATTTTCATTCTTTAAAAACAAATATTTGGTTTTATCACTGGAAGAAATTTGTATATATGTATGGTAAAAAGCATGATGTGCCAGTAAAGTTGTATATTATTGAATGTGCAAATCAAGTTCATTAACATATTCATTATCTCACATACTTATCTTTTTTATGGTGAGAACATGTAAAATCTACTCTCTTAACATTCTTCAATTATATAATACATTGTTATTAATTATAATTATTATGTTTTAAAATATATCTCCTGAACTTATTCTTCCTGTACAACTCAAATTTTGTATCCTTTGACCACCTCCCCCATCCCCCACCACCTCACTCAGTAACCACCATTTTACTCCACTTGTATGAATTAAACTTTTTTAGATTTCACATATAAATGAAATTGTGAGGTATCCGTCTTTCTGTGATTGGCTTTATTTCACCTGGCATAATATCCTCCAAGTTATCTCATGTTGTCACAAGTGACAGAATTTTCTTATTTTTTAAGGCTGAATAGCATTCCGTTGTGTGTATATATCATATTTTCCTTAACCGTTTTTCAACCAAGTTTAAAAAATAGAACTGCCATGTTACCCAGCAATCCCACTACTAAACATGTATTTAAAAAAAATGAAACAAGTATGTCAAAGAGATGTCTGCACTCCCTTCTTTATTGCCACATTATTTACAATAGCCAAAATATGGTATCAACATGTGAATATCTGGTTTTCACGGCACTATTTTTTGAAGAAATTGTGTGTTCTGGGCAATTGTGTTGAAGATAATTTGACCATAAATGACTGGATCTATTTCTGCATTCTCTCCTATGTTCCATTGATATTTGCCAGTGTTATGCTTTTTTGTTTACTATATGTTAGTAGCTGATTTTGATACCAGGTAGTGTGATGCCTCCAGATTTGTTCTTTTAACTCAAGATTGCTTTGGCTTTTTAGGGTTTTCTGTGGTCCTGTGTGAACTTCAGGATAGTGCTTTCTATTTTCTTAACAATGTCATTGGAATTTTGATAGGGATTGCACTAAATCTGTAGATGATTTTGTGCGTATGGATATTTTAAAAATGCTAATCCTTCTGATCCATAACACAAGTTACCTTTTCACTTACTTGTATCTTCTTCCATCATCATACAAATCTTTCACTCTTTAGTTAAAATTATTTCTAAGTGTTTTTTGATGTTATTTTACGTGGAATTGTTTTCTTAATTTCTTTATCAGATAGTTTGTTTTGTGTATAGAAACACTACTTATTTTTGTATGTTGATTTTGTATCCTGCAACTTTACAAAATTCATCTATAGTTAATGCACTTTTTGTGGAATCTTTAGGATTTTCTATATAGAAGATGATGTCTGCAGAGGCAATTTTATTTTCTCCTTTCTGATTTAGATGCTCTTTATATTTCTTTTTAATAATAAATTAGCTATAGAATTGAAACATGGTATTTTTCTCAGCACCTTAAAAATATTTTCTCCCATTAATTTTTGTCTTCTTTTGTTGCTCTTAAAAAGTTATCTATAAGCCTAAGTGTCATTTTGTTACATGTACTCTCACTTATGATCTCTGGTTGCAATTAAGACTGTCTTCCCTCTTTTAGTGAACTTCCTTATAATGTTTTAAATATTTTGTTTAGGACTTAATGTGCAGATGCTTTTGGCATCTTTGTCATGACATCTTTGCCTGTACTTATGTCCTGAATGGTATCGCCTAGGTTTTCTTCTAGGGTCCTTATAGTTTTGGGCTTTACATTTAAGTCTTTAATACATCTTGAGTTAATTTTTGTATATGGTGTAAAAACGGGGTCCAGTTTCAATTTTCTACATATGGCTAGCCAGTTCTTCCAGCACCATTGATTAAGTAGGGAATCCTTTCAGAATAAAATACCTAGGAGTACTGCTAACAAGGGAAGTGAAGGACCTCTTCAAGGAGAACTACAAACCACTCCTCAAAGACATCAGAAGGGACACAAACACGTGGAAAAACACTCCATGCTCATAGATCAGAAGAATCAATATTGTGAAAATGGCCACATTGCCCAAAGCAATTTATAGATTTAATGCTATTCCCATATAAGTGCCATTGACATTCTTCACATAATTAGAAAAAAACTATTTAAAAATTCATATGGTACCAAAAAAAGCCCAAATAACCAAGAAAATCCTAAGCAAAAAGAACAAAGCTGGAGGCATCACACTACCCAACTTCCAATTCTACTACCAGGCTACAATAACCAAAACAGCACGGTACTAGTACAAGAACAGACACATAGATCAATGGAACAGAATAAAGAAACCAGAAATAAGACCACACACCTACAACTATCTGATCTTTGACAAAGTGATACATCTCTAGAAACACCTTTACCTGAATGTCTTTCTTGGCTTGTTTGCAATTTTTCTCTACAATGCTTAAATTTTCACTGAAGTTCTTCTTTATACAAAACAACTGGGTGGTATTTTTCTTGCAACCACCCAATTCATAACTAATGCTAATCTGTAATTTTTGAAAATTACCAGATATAAATATTAACAAAAAAATCATCTACATACCAAAAGACTAAAACAAACAACTGAAACTTTCTCTCATTTCAAGACTAGTTGGAACTATAGCCAAATCTGTACTATGTACAGGAGTCACCTAAAGCAATAATACAATGATATAAACTCAGTATGGGGGAGGAAAAAATGCATCAAAAAATTATTTTAAAAGGTGACAATATTAATAACAGATTTTATCAATTCTACTAAATAAAACAAAACAGTACAATTTGTTAAATTTGTTTTTTAGGCAGTTGGGTCATAAGAATTAATAATACATGAAGAATACAATTCAGAAAAAATCAGACAAAAATATATAAATGAATAAATGGATAAAATACCTTTTAACAGTGGTAAACTCTAAAAAATAGATATAATCTATATGGGGGTTAAGGACTCATAATATGGAGATATGTTACATAATATAGTCAAGTAAAACTTTTCTCCAGTAATTCTTGAATTGTTATCTAAGAACAGGTAGGAGCCATTATAAAAACATTTAAGACAGTATTCCTCTACCCTACCTGCATATTAGAATCATCCAGGGAGTTTTAAAAACTACTCTTGACTGTTCCCTCATCCAATCTCCAAAGTTCTTATTTCATCAATTTGGGTTGGAGCACATGCATTGTTTTATATTATACCCCTTTGGTGTTTGGAATTTTCATTCTCATCCATGGCTGAGAATTGTGGATGAGAATGGCCTAGGGCCATGATTTTTCACACATTAGAAGCACCTGAGAATCGTGGATGAGAATGGCCTAGGGCCATGGTTTTCCACACATTAGAAGCACCTGAGAATCGTGGATGAGAATGGCCTAGGGCCATGGTTTTCCACACATTAGAAGCACCTGAAGAGTTTTTAAAATCTCAGTTCTCAAGCTGCTTTCAAATCAATTAAATCAGAATATCTGAGGGCAGGTTCTTGGCATCAGTCTTCTTTTGCAACACTCCAATTTATTTCAATGTATAGACACAGTTGAGAACCTGTATTCTGAAGGAAGAATACTCTAAGTAGAGGAAAGAGCTAATGCAAAGGTCCAAAGGCAGAGGTAAGTTTGATGTTTTCCAAGGCTAGAAAGAAAGCCAGATTTAATGGAGGGAATAGAAGTGTGTTGCAAGATGGTATGGTAATGGCAGTTTCAATGAAAATCATCTAGCCATGATTAATCAGAAGGATAATTAGCATAATTTCTATTTAAAATTTTTTTGGCCACTGCAGAGATAAGACAATATATACATAAGAATAAAAGCAGGGATAAATTTAAGTAGTCTAAGCAAATAAAGAATATATAAAATGAAGATGAAGAAATAACTATAAGAATAAAATAAGAATTATAAAAGAGTAATTTGTAAAACACTATAGAAATAAACTTGAAAACTTAAGTGAAATGAGTCGTCAGCAAAATACACATACATTTCTAATAGACCAATAAACTAAGATGATAATAAAACATTATCAAACCACTCCCTAAAAGAAAAAAAAAACAGGCCTGGATTATAAGTGAATAAACAAATTCAAATGCTATTTAAATGTATCCAAAACATAACTTTAAGAACAAAGCTTCTAAATTGTTTTTTTGACTCTATCATAGCACTGATGGCAAAACTGGATGAAGACACAAAAGTCAAGCCAGCAAACCAAAATAGCAATACAAAAATATTACTTATTAAAATGATATCAAATTGTAAAAAAGTACTTCCTATAGACCAGGTCTGAAAAATAATTATAATTTTTTTAAAATTTTCAAAAAAAGCATATTATTTATGCTGTATGTAAAAAATTACCTTCTGTGTGCAGATGGATTTCATTTTAGACATATAAAGATTATTTCTTTTCAGAAAACATACGAAAATAATATAGTAACTAACATATATGCAAAGACACTTAAGATTGAAATTAGTTATTGATAAGACCAAATAAATATTTGGTTACTCTGTTCCTCACTCACATTCTGAGTTGTGTGGGTTGCTGTATGGCTGGAATCTATGAACTCTACTAGGCAATGCTGAGCTGGGCTGAACTAACTGGATTCAGGCTAAAGGAGTAACCTATCTGGACCATGTGGCCCCCATGGTATAGGTCAAAGGATCAGGGTTAGTAAAACAACAAAAACCCATTAAAAATATCTGTACCCATGTATCATTGGTCCAATCAAGTCACATGGCCCAATTTAAAGTCAATGGAGTGTAAAATTCATGGAAAAGGTGAGGAGAAATATATAATTGAAAAGAACCCATAAAATCTACCTCTTAAAGTAAACAAACAAAAATAAAAACCCTTAATATTATATGAAAATAGATACCTTCATAGAAGAAAATTAATATCTATATCTTCATAGAATAATGTAACAGGGATTGAGCTATCACCAACCAATGCCAACATAAAGCTTAACAAATTAAACATATTTTATTAAAGTGATAGAAATGAAACAGATCCTTACTTTACCAGTATTATTGAACAATATTCCCGAAATTCTAGCCAGTGCAATTAGAGAAGGGAAGGAAATGCATGGAATATAAAATTGAAAGGAGAATAGAAATGTAACAATTTTTGCAGATGTTATGACTATATAAGCAAGAAAACTCAAGAGAATATACCACAATCTACAAACAATAAAAGAATGTTAAAAAAAGTGGATGGTTAGCCAATTAATATAAACAGCAGCTTTCCTATATACAAATAGTGGCAGGTTAAGATAGAGAGAAAGAAAAAGTTCTGTTGTTAATTGGGTTAGTATCAATGATAATAATAATCAAGAGTATACCTAACTAGAAATGTACTGATTTTATATGAAAAAAAGCTTACACACCTATGATATATTGCATGACAAACATACAAGTGAAAGATATAAATAATCTTGAATGAATAGTAAAAAAAAATCATGTTCTTTGATTAAAAACTTTATTTTTATAATTCTCCCTAAATTAAATTCATAAATTCTATTCAATGCAAATGAAAACTCCATCTGCCTTTTTACTTGGAGGAACACTTGACAAAATAACACTGGTGTTCATCTAGGGAAATAAATATGTGACAATATCCAGGAAATTTCAGAAAAAGATCAGTAATGTGACCCTTGCCAGATATTAAAATGGCCACTAATGTGGGACTGTTTAGATAAATCATGGTTCTTTTATATAATAATTAATATAAAGCTATTAAAAACAAAAATATGAATTGTCATATGCAGAGTTTTAGGACATTAATTAAAATATATAAAAATATTACATAAGAATATAAATTTTAAAACATACATATCAGATGTTTCTGAAAGCATATACACATAACTATTAAGTAGTTACATATTCACAGAGGCACTAGCGGTTTTCCAGTAGGAGGAAAACTTGTACTTTTTATTGTCTGATTGCTTTTTTATCATATGCATGTATTACTTTAGTTGTTGCTCTTAATTCTCAAAAAGCTTTTCAGTGCTGATGGGTTATGATGTATCCAGGAATTGAAATGAAATTTATACCCATAACAAATCATATATTTAAACATTACTGAACAAAATACATTCAAATCATTTAAATAATTTATTTATTTAATGTATGTACTATCCTATTAAATTTAAGGTATTCATTTATCCCGGAAGACATATTTAGCATAAATGTCTCTTGTTTTAATTGTTATAATATTTGACAATAACTGAAAATTATTTGAAGTTTCCATTAATTTTTACAGTTTTTACTCTTAGCTTGCCATGTGAATGTATTACCATTCAAAGGAGCTAGTCAATAATATCTGGAATATTCTAATTTAGTAAAAAGCTCAGTTAACATCATTCCTTTCAGACACAAGATTAAAGAACATTGACTGAAGAGTATCATGATACAGTGTTCAATAAATCTACCATTTTCTTGAGTGGCCAGCTAGATAATTATAGTTTCTCATAAAGCGACAATCCAAGTATTCTTTAAGCCTCATCTTTTGCTGGTGTTTCAAAATTCCAAACTAAAAGAGTCCAAGTTATTGTGATTTTCAAATACAAATATTTCAGTGTCTGAAATAACTGAAATAACTCCCTAAAATATATAGAAATAGTTAGTGAAGGCTAAATGCAAAGGAAATATACCATCTTACCTTAGTTGCAACCAGATCGCTAAAACAACTTTGCCCAAGAATCTGGCCTTACGGAAACATATTTGATGTTGAAACAAGGTCTCTTTGCTAGTTATTTCGTTGCATGTCCATCTGCTATGTTGAAATTGTGCCAGCTCACAAACTGGTCTGCTATTTTCAGTAAAGCATGTGCCAAAGCAGCACATGGTTTAGACTGGCAGATTACATAAGGCTGCGAGTATCCACTATAATAAAAATTTAGTCTTTTGCCCAGTATGTTTGATCCTTAAATTGCTCACTGCATGCTCATTAACTCAAAAAAATCCCTTGAAAGAGATGACATACTATTAGTTTACTTTACTGTTAAGGAATCTTGACAGAGATGAAATGACTTAACCAGAGGCACAGGTGAATATTTAATGGAATGTTTGTGTTTGTTTACCTGGAACTACATCTTCTCACCTGAGGTTTTGATATTTGTATTGGGGTAAAAAGTGTTACAATTCAATAAGGTATAGATAGATATTTTCTGAAAGAGTAGTTAGTGGTGAGAAGTAAACACTTGAAATAGCACAAATTGTTATTATAATTTCTGATATATTTGTCTGGAAATTCTTAATTTTAAACGAATAATTGAACTAATTGATCTTTCACAAGGCTACTTTGGTGGTTACTTTGGCTTATTGGACTGGCATTCTCTGTACCGTAAAAGCTATTGAGAAGAAACTTTAGGAATATTACCCATTTCAACAGAATCCTTTGGAAACTTTTGAACATAATTTATTTGGAGAGACAAGTCAGGTAACGTTTAAAACTTTGTCATCTTTTACAATCTTTGTAAAGATAAAAAATATACCAAAAATTTAACTAATTACTAGCATGCACAAGCCTACTGTTTCAAAAGACCTAAATATACATTATAGCAAAGGTTCATTACATTATCATCAGAGTTGAAAACAAGAGTTTTGATATTTCGTATTTCTTCAGACTAATTGAAGCTTTTCATCTTGATTGAATTTCTAGGTTTGCAAAATAATCAAACTGCCCCCAAAGAGTTTTGCTAGACTCCTTTATTAAGGACTTTGATGAGCACTCAGACAAGCATGCCAATCACATTTGTGAATGGCATGAGGTTAAAAGTAATGTAGACAATATTCACCTATTACCAATATCTGAAAAAATCTCTAAAGGCAAAAAATAGATAAACCTGTAAGGTTAAAATGTTATAGCAGTTAATGTAAAGTTATCATGTTCTGAGGTCTGAAAAATCCAAGTTTATAAGGATAGAATAAAGAAGGCATACCTAGGATTAACCCACGTAAAAATCACATTGGAGTTTTAGTTTAGCTTAATAATAAGCATGGATGTGGCCAGACCAAACATCACACTCAGTTGTGAGAACCATCTTTTGATATAAATTTTGATAAGCAGGAGTAGAGGACACAAAACAGGATCATGAAAAAGAGTTATACAGTATAATAATAATAATAATATAGTAATACATATTATATTATAAAATGATACAAATAATACATATTGTGTAATACTATATATTATAATATAATATTATTATATAACATTTTATTATATAATATATATTTTATTATATAATATAACATTTTGTTATATAACATTTTATTATATTATATATTATATTACATATATTATATAACATAATGTTATATAATATATATTATATAGCATAATGTTATTATATAATATATAATATTATATAACGTAATGTTATTATATAATATATAATATTATATAATAGTTTGAAGTAACTGAGATTACTTAACATAGAGAACTCAGGTAAGATACAATATGTATTTCAAAATATTTGAAAGACAGTATATGGAAATGTATTTAGCCATCATTTGTATAATTGAAAAGGTAAGAAGAAGATCCAAAAGTTGAAAGTTACTGGGGCCGGGTTTCATTTCAAGTTAAGGGAAAACTTTTTTTTTTTTTAACTACTCAAAAACAGAACGAGTTTTGTAAGAGAAAAATGCTTGAAGGGCATATAAAAGAGGTTAAATCATCTATTAAGGGATGGAAAGAAAACAAAGGGATTTAGAACATATTACCTTAGCAGTCCTTTTAAATTCATACATAATTTTAAATATAATGTTCTTTAGATGATAAAACCAATTGGTTGACTGTACATATGTTAATTATATATATATAATTAATGAGGGGTGTGTGTGTATATATTTGTATTAATGTTTGCATACAAGCATATCTGATAAGTTGAAAGTTCTTAATATTGTGATAAGTTGATAAAGTCTTGGTAAATATTTATTAGCCCTTTAGAATGGAAAATTTTGGCCTCTGTTCTTTTTAATCCCAGTATAATATCAGTTGACTTCCTGACTAACTGTTGTAATGATTCTACTCTGTTTACATGGTTAAAATTGACCGGAGATAAAAGTGACAGCTAAGGCAGTGTGTACAAGGACAGAAAGGCAAGATAGAGATGGGTTCCTTGAAGATGACAAGAGGAAGCCTGGATTTGCTGTAGGAGGCAAGAGGCCACTAGTAACCGGATTCAGAAGGGAATGGTTTGGTCTGAACAACAAGAAACAGGGAAATGTTAAGCTCTCAAAAGCTTTCCAAAATAAAAGGGACATGGAGAATACAAGATTTTATATGTCCTAACCCTGCTATCTAACTGAGAGGCACACAAAAGAAATGGGCCAGATAAAACTGGCATTTATCAGGAATGGAGCAGATACACCCTTAACCTGACGACTCCATGGCAGACTACAAGGAAGAGGCTTACTTGTTCTGGGAGGCGAGTTCAACGTCGACACTAAGGAATTAAAACCTGAACAAAGAAAGGCAGGAGTAAGTCTAAGGACATGAGGTGGAAGCCTAATGGAATTGGGCAGAAATTCCCGTTTCCAAGGGCGAAAATGACTTTTACACTAAGCCTCAGCAAATGGCTGCATTTTCCCGGTTCCTACGCTACCATGTGGTTAGCCATGACGCTGCCTGATTTACAACACTGTGGATTTACAGACTTGTATTAGGGGCTACAGTGCATTCTTTTTTTTTTTCTTCTTCTTCTTATTTTTGCCTTTTTTTCTGTAGGAATAGATATTTACTTTGAAAAAATTTTTCATCATTCTATTATATATACCTTTTGTCATACCAGCTAAACGATTTTGAAGAGCTTTGATTTTTCTATTTTTCTATATATATAATAGAAAGCAATTTCCTTGAAGTGGTCTTACATTCTATATATTAATAGTGGTGAGATTTAATTCTTTACAACCCCACTCATTTCTATTTTCCACTTATCAGTAAGGTTTATCAGATATGTAGGTTTTCAAGAAATTAAGTGTGGTATTACGTATTATTATGAAATTTTAAGCTATTGCTGTTTATCAGGTTAATGGCATTGATTACATGAAAGTAACACGTTCGATTCTACATACTATTTGTTGACCGCATAATTCCAAAGCTGAGGTGCATCTGCAGGAGCCAAAGTCCAACAAAACTCACCCCAAAAGGACTAGTCTAGCTCCATTAAAGGAGGTAGTTCTTTAAACATCCTCACGTCATCAGTTCTCAGTGTATGCTTACTATTCATGAAGCATTGCTCTAAGGAAATGAGAGAGAGAGGGAGAGGGATAAGGAAAAGGGAAAAGAGAGAGAGAGAGAACAAATCAGGAACTTGTTCACCTTCAGAATAAAATACTCAGAGGCAAATCGGGTAAGAACATAAGGGAGGGAATGGTCTGTAAAATCGGCATCAAGCCACATGATACATCATAAGGAGGTGAATATGAACAATGCTCAAGCCTTAAAGTTACCTTGATGAAGAAAACAAACCAAGATTTCCAGGTTGGAGAATAATTTGCAAATTTATACTGGATCTCATAGCAATAGCAAATGTTCTATTGTGGCAAACATTAAGCAACCCTTAAAAAAATACCTGAGATAATCCTACTACAAATTAATGCTATTAAGCACTTTTTAATCCCTCCATTTAAATTTTGTTCATGTCCCCCATAAAGCAACTTAACTATATAGTTGGAATTAGATACAGCAAGTGCATGGCAGGTGTCTGGATCTCAATATGAGATTATATGAATGAAACTGTCCTAATAGAAGGTGAGGGTGCATCTGAACACATAAATGCCTGGGTGCCTTTGGGCAGTCACGTAATTCAGCACACCTGCAATTTAGGGAATTTCAAATCAATTTCCAAGCCCCAGAAAATTCTAAAAATCCACCTACGGGATAACAAACTATAATTTTTGCATGTTTCATGTGAAAATATTGAAAGAAGTGTTTATATTTCTTGTAACTAGAGGCTTAATACCTATTTTTCTATTTTAAAGGGGGAACCTAGATTTACTTTTTGAAATATCATGAAGCGTAAGTACTGATGATTGATAAGACATCCACAGAGTTAGAGAAACAAATTTGAAATAGATTCTCATCACTTCTTTATCATCAGTTCCTTTCTTTACTTAATCAGCATTTTGTGTTGTTATACTTAATCTTTGATTTTTAAAATATTTCCTATGGTTTACTATCAAGTCAAACTGAATTATCAGCCCTATCTTATAGTTAAAAATACAACAATATGGTCAAATTGTAGAGCAAAATAAATTTTTAATGGGTTCATAATAAAAAATTTGAATAAAGGAACTTTTATAAATGTATGTCTTAAACATTCTTTGACATTCATTTCATTCATTGTGACAGTAAAAAAAGTTTCCAACATGGAAATGGACAGAAAAGTACAATGAGCAAGTCTAACTTAAATAATCACTTAAACTTAAGTCATGCGAGGAACGTTTATTATAATAGAAGAAATTGAAATTACTTGGAAAAAAGCTATGACAATTGGCAGATTATGATTCAAGTACCTGTAAATTTTTATGACACTATAATGTTTTAAAAAACGCAGGAGTAGGGAATCCATATGCTATTCAGTTTGGGATAAATTAATAAAATTCTGCATATTATTATCTATCTTAGTGATATTTTTGTGGTATCTTCAGTTAAATTCATACTACTGTAAATCAATTCAGTAATAGTTACTGAAATAAAGAAAAAGAAGATAAAACCTTGAATAAATGTACCAAGGAAAAAAACATTATAGTCTTGGCATGTTTATAGTTCAGTAGGACATTAAGTTAGCAATTTAACAAAAACCAAGCCTTCCAAAATATTTAAAAATAGTGATGTGTTCTTTCATCAACCTGGCTAGTGATTTCTTTAAAGATCTAGTCAACACATGGGCACTTATTTCCTGTTGAAGCCATGGATAGTTATTACACTTTACGTAACCCAGGGGCTCTTTAAAGAGAGGACAATCATAGATTTTCTCAGGCTTGGACATTTGGTATTGGCAGTTTTGCTGTATGAAATCAGGCAAAGCTACTTTTCTAGAGTCTGCTATTTATCTCTTTAAAATAAAAACACCAAAGTTTGACTGACACTAATTTCCTGAACAAGATACTCTAGAAACTCCAGTTTATCTTATAAAATCATAACAGACAAGGTTTGTGATGTCCCCTCCACAAGATTCTTTATTCTGTCAGTTTATAGCATTTGAAATGACGGAAAGGGATGCGTTCCTTTCATATGCCATCCAGGAGAACAGAACCTGTCACCAACAGTGTAATGTGCTATGTATTATCACTCTGAGTGATCCAGAGGCCCAGAGACTGTCATCTTTTTAGACTGTACAAGTCAACACAAATAAAACTGAGGAGGCAAATGATAATGTCTCAGATAGAGCCAGGCTCATTCTGGCCATTACTTTTTATTCAAACCTTACAGATGACATGATGTGAAAAATGAGCCTATGTCTAGTTCAATGCCCATTAGTGTGTGAGCACATTATCTTCCACTTTTCACATTGAATCTCTCTGTACTCACTCTGCCAGTGAGAGTTCAGCAGCCTGTCAGCAAAAAGGGATTTTGACTACTCTAAATTTTTTTATCTTATTATAAATAAATACTAAATATTACCTTTCTCTTGATAAATTGCAAATAATGTGAGCTACTCATTCAAAAAATGAGGCACAGTGTTTTCTAAAGTTTCTCAGACATTACTCTTCTGTTTATAAATAATTAGAGATGGCAACCCAGCTGTTATTTTGAATAAAAAATATTCATTGAGAGTAATTTTTAAAAACTAAATAAAATTTCTATTCAAATAAATAAGCTGAGAATTTTAATCTGTATTAAAAAACACATTTTGAGTAGGATAAGACTGCCCTATCATTTCCCATCCATGATACATTCTATAGTTTTCCATATCTAAATACCTCAGGCATTCCCTGTCAAAAACGGGATAAATCGTATAATTTTGTAATGTGTAGAAGACTCAGAAATATTTGTTTTCTGTAGAAATGTATTGCTGAAGAAAAGTCTGATGAATACTTTTGCAATCCTATTAGTTGCCAGGACCCTCGTGTTGCTTCCATAAACATAAAGAAATATCTTTGTGCCTGGTGATGTGAAGAAATCAATTAATTTGTCATAGCACTCCTTAAGTGTCACGTGATTTTGGCCAGGGGTAGCAAATTGAACTATGAAAATGTACTTTTTAACAGCTCTATTGGATAGAAAATCTGACAGCCCTTGAAGTGTAGATTTGCCATCTTCAAAAATAGCTGAAAACACTCACACCCACTCACACTTTGAAAATAAATCCAATTCCTGAAGAGTTTTTAACGTGTTCACTAGCATTATCAATAGCTGTGTAAAATTCCTATGTTACTATTTGTAATCTTGAATCATCCCCAATATTCTCAAAATATTCCTCAATTACCTTAGAGCAAGAATTAGCCACATTTTTAGTTTTCGTAAGGATATAAATACTAAGCATGAGATTGTTTTATTTATATTATTTAAATTACAATGTATTTAATTAAAATAGAATTAAAAACTATCAGTATTGAATATGACTTGAAAGAGGTAACTTGAAATTTTTCTAACAGTTACTGCATATCTAGTTTGGCCATTACACTGTCACTTGATGTGCCTTCCTATTGAATTGCATTCCATTTTGTGGCCGCAATAACAGCCTAAAGAAATCTAAAGATCTTAGAAAAGGAAGCTGAATTTCTTGTTGGCAAACTTTCCCATGTGTCCTGTAATGGGAAGGTAACAGCATGTTTTATGATGAGCTTTATTTTATGCTGAAGTCGTCAGCCTTTCCCTCTTAGACTGAAGCATTGTTTGAATACCATAATTTCTTACCTCAGAAAATGGTTTACAATGTTTTCAGTTCCCTTCTGAAATGTCAATGATAGGCATTACTGTCTGTGCAGAAGTTAAATGGTACCACGTTGGAAGAATAGTAGATGAGCAGTATTTATTTTAACTTCATCTTCCATTTTCTTCTGCCTGGATTATCATCCTCTGTTATTTATAGTGAGAATGATGGTCTGAATGTACAAAATTGTGTGTACTGCCTGGGAGAGATATTAGAGCCACCGTGATGACTTTCTATGGTGAATATTTTGTCCTATAACAACAATGTTGGTGACATTAACTGAGGTTTATTTTTAAATTCCAATTCAAAGAGTAAATACCTTAATATTCTAATCAATGGCCATCTTTGAGGAAAACCAAAAGCTTATGTTAGGTATAAGATGCTTATATAGCACATGGTAAAATAAAATATTTTACCGCTTTTATTTATGTAATATTTCAAAGAGTTTTATATTGAATATATAATTATTTCATTTCATGTTGTCTTAAAACCAATGCATCTAAATGGACTAAAATTAAACGAGCATTTTCATTAAGAATTGGATGTTGCCTTTTTTTCTTTTCTATTCTTTTTAAATAATCATAGAGACTGAAATAATAGCAGCTTCTTTAACTGTTAAAATTGTAGTTTCTAAAAAGAAACACCATTTTGAAATTTGAAAATCCACTTAATCCCCAATTAAGCAAATAAAAGTGAAAGGCTTTTTTTCACTCTTTATGATGAACCTGCTGCCCTTTGCTTTCTCACTATGACGCTGTCCTTGGCACATGCACTCCTGAGAGTAGCTACTGAAACTAAATTAAAATGATATATTGGTGGCCAATGAAAAGATGACATTGAAGGTAATTCAATTCATGGCCAAGAAAAATTTGTTACCAAAAAGTATCCAAAGAACAAGTAATTACTAGTAATTTGCATTTTGCTTTTAATCTCTTGATTATTCAGGATGAGCTTAATATATGTGTCCTACTTTCATACTCCTACTTTGTTTTCACGTAAAGTTCACTGAATTAAACAATGTGTTCCTACACTTCCAGCTTCTGTGTAAATAACTTGTCTGCCTCTGAAAATATTCCTGATGTACACTACTGTCTTAAATGGACTTTTCTCTTTTTTTTTCTTTGTCTTTATTTTCTTTGCTCAGAAAAAAAAAAGTCAAGTGGCTTTCTTAATCTAGCAGGTATATTTACATTTTCCCAGGAAATATCCAACTGTTGATCTTTCTGACCTTGAGTGACATGATATTCTAGACGTGATGAAACCTAATCTTTTTTTACTCTCTATAAAGAAAGAAGATAATCAATATTTTTCTAGATTTGAACATTCTCTTTATGCAAATTAATTATTGTTTTCATTCTTTTATTAAATGTAGGACCATTTTTCTATGTTTGTGTATTTTCTTTATTCTTTATTTGATTATCTAAAATCTTGTAAATTTATTTTTACCACTAACAATATATTTAATGTATTGTTTAGTATACTATAGAAGTAAGACTGTTGCAAAATCATAAACTTTTGATACGTCCAGAAGAAACAATTAATTGTTCAA
Organism: Homo sapiens; assembly: GCF_000001405.40. Taxonomy (NCBI): domain Eukaryota; kingdom Metazoa; phylum Chordata; class Mammalia; order Primates; family Hominidae; genus Homo; species Homo sapiens. Next base: position 155,516,767 of record NC_000002.12, on the reverse strand, counting down.
CACTAGAATTGGAGAAAAACAGGAATGGAAAAAGGGATCACCTGTTAGAAGGGCTTAATTGCTTAAGAAAGTCTTAATATTAGAAGCATTTATAATAGCAAAAAGAAATTATCCATGGGGTTATAGTTTCTTAAAATGTTAACCTTACTCTAAATGTTCTACTTCATTAACACTGTATTTCATAGATCTCCAATTTCAAATAAACCCTTTATTTTGAATAATTTTGTGCCACAAAGTAAGTCAGCTTGTCAAAGATGTTAGAAGTGGAAGACCAGTTTTGTGCATCTCAAGACCACTATATTATTCAGGAGCAGAGAATCTGTAATGAATCCAAAGTAGGTTTATCCAAATATTCCAGAATCCACTAGAAATATATCTAGTAAGTTAGGCTTTTATTTTTCTCCCACAATCCCAATGGTAAATAACTACTTTAAAGATAAAGTACAACAATAAAATAAAATAAAATAACCGATTGATGCAAACTTTCAATGCTAGAGTTGTTTCAACTCATTTTATTGCTGATTGTCACAATAATGGTGCGATTTCTATGCTATACAAAAGTAGGGGAGTCATCAAAAAAGATATTCATCAGAAGCATATATTTATAACTCTTAGGAATTTGAGTGAGAAAAACATTATTTTAATGAGATTTTAAAATCTTCAAAAATCTTCAAATAAAATAGAAGAAAACAGTAAGAATAAGAAAAATGGGACAAAATGATTAGGTATATTTAGAAAGCATAAAATATGAGTGGTTATGACCCAATCATAACAAACACAGAACCTCATAATAGTTAGTTGAGTAAGATAAGTGGGAATTGAGGAGTTTGAGAATCCTTTAACATAGTTATAGCCCATAAATAGCTACTGCCAAAAGAAGAATACCCCCGTCTGAATGGAACCTTCAGCAAAGAGATATGAGTAAAAGTACAGTAAGTGAGAGGAAGCTCTACAAACTCGAATTTGCCTAGGAGTGCAGAACAGACTGAACAAACACACTAACTAGCTGTGAGGCTATCACAGTGAAATAGACATAAAATTGACCAGAGTAGTATCCTAGTGTCAGACAATAGAGAGGTAGGGGGACCAACCTCCCAGATTAGCCCTGGGATGAGGGGTTTGCTTGAATGCAAGATTTTCAGTACTAAAACAGTCCCAGACAAACCAGGATAGTTGGTTACACTACATTAAGGACATTAGAAATATTCCAAAAACTTTTATTCAAAAGGACAAAGAACTAAGACTATGCACGAAAAACTTTCGCAATTAAAAAAAGCACAATGGGAACACTGGGTGTAAATAAGAGAAAAGATTCAGACATGAGGCTTGGATAGAAGATTCCATAAGAATCAGATCTCAGAAGTATAAAAGTGGCTACAAGTGAGAAGTTTTAAAAATGCTTCATATTAATAACGGAAGATGTAGTTCTTGATCAGTGAAACTAGAAAATCTACTACCTTCTTTCATCATTCAGAAAGTTTGTCTTAAAAGTTTTGGTAGAACTTATCACATATAAACATGAGCAACATAAAATGATTATAGAAACAATCCCATAAAAATCATTTAAAAAAAGAAGAGAATAAACTGAATAATGTAGTGATGGATAATGAAAAAAGAGTAGAAAAAAAACATGGTCATGACGTACATGAAAACTAGTGCCTATTAGTCTAAAATTCATTTTAAATTGTGAGAATATCAAAGAATGTAAAAAAAGATAAAAATCAAAATAGAAGAATTTAGATATGAGGTGACCAAACAGCAACAGGATAGGAAAAGAAAGATGACTGCTAGGAAAAAAATAAGGAAAAATTCAGAAATCAAGAGTAAACTACAATGAAAACAAAAGCAAGGAAAGTACTGTAATGAAAGTAGAAAATATAAAGAAGTAAAAATATAGTTAATAAAGAGATAAATATTTGAGAAAAATATAGATTAAGAGAAAAATGATAAAAGAGAAAAGACATGGAAAAAAGATCCACTGTGAGTATAATCGAGGTCCTTGGAAAAGGAAGCCCAAGCTGTGGAATAAAACAAATGCTAGAAATAATGATTCAACAGCTATCAAAATCATCATTCTAAATTTTTAAAAGAATTCATGTACATGTTCTACAGACCAGTCAACATCACGAGCGATTTTTATTCATCTATCGGTTTTTAAAGAGAAAGAAATAGTTTATAAGCAATCAGGCAAAATGATCGAGTTACCTATAAGTTCAATTCAAAATTATGTACATTTGGGAATTCAGGTAACATGCAAATTCTGATAAGTTTTTCCTGGAGCATCTTCAAACAAAATCTTTCAAACAAAAAATTATAAAAGTAGTTTTGGTGTGAGTTTTGTGGTAAGTATAGAATATATTTAATACATGTGTACCACTAAATAATATAGATAAAGACAACAGAATACTATGCAAATGTCACTGTGATAAAAAAATATATAGAATACAACTAACAAAAAATTGAAAATAGAAGATAAGGGTACGTAAAAAGTAGAATAACCTTTATGATAGTTACTCATATATATTAATTTAAAGTAAATTTGATGCTGCAGAGAAGAAAGGAAGGGGAAAGAGAGGCTATTAGTAACTTTAAGTATTAATCCTAGTAGAAAATAAATATAAATTATTTATATAGGACTATAATAATATAATAATATATTTCTTATTTCTGTTAAGATTAAATATAATAATATAATAACATAATGTTTTATATATGATAATCCTTGTAAAAATACTTTTTATTATTCCCTCAGTGTTTGCTTGGCAGACAGAATTGAAGAAAATATATTTTCCTAAATCAAAACTCTAAAGTTATTACATAAAGGTAGCATTAGAAAAAATGCAAATGTTCTGAAATATTTAAAAAACTATAAAATAAACATATTATAAAGTTATTTTATAGTATCTTAATTATATAATTTATAGATTAAAAACTTTCACTTACATTTTCTATGTAGAAATTTGACTAAATGAAGACAATTATATGGCTCATTTTAGTAATGTAAGTGGTCAATCTTCACAATTAAAAGAATCTAATGTTTAAATTGGCTGAAAAATAGCTCTCAACTCTGCTGAATATGAAAGTTGCACATAAAGAACAGGAGATTCAGAATGATTAAAAAGAAATGGATCAACAAAGATATACTAGGGAAACACAAATGAAACAATACTGGAATCCTGATCTTGTAATAGAAAAGTAGAGTGCACATGGAAATGGAAGGAAGGAAAGAAGGAAGGACGGATGGAAAGAAGGAAGGAAGGAAGGAGGAAGGGAGGGAAGGAGGGAGGGAAGGAAAGAAAAAGAAAGAAAAGGAAAGGAAGAGAAAGAAAAAGAAAGGAAAGGAAAAGAAAGAGAAAAAGAGAGAGAAAGAAAGAGAAAAAGAGAGAAAGGAGAAAGATAAAACATAAAATGCTAAACATAAACCTCAAAATACAGTGTCTACTAGTAATATTTATATACCTAATAAGAAAGCAACAGCTTTTATAGCAAGATCCAAAAACTAAGATAAATAAAAAGAAAACCAATGATAACAGTAGTTTAACACATCTCTCCATTCTAATAGAGATTCAGGGAAAAAAATAGAAGATTGTAGTTTTACATAATCCATAATACAGATTTCATTTACATAAAGAGGTGAATGTGCTTGAACAATAGTATTTAATAAAGAATCATCGTTTTTCCTATACAGTTTTATATTGGTAAAAATATAAATAATACAGAAGATCCTCTATGATGAAAATGTAAATGAATGAGCCACATTAAAAAATAAAACACAAATTTCCTCCCATTTGTACATTTGAAATTATATCATTACGTAGTTCATAATCAAGTGAAAATAGCAAATGAAATTGCAGATTTTTTAAAATAAAAATAATAACAGTATTACAGCATTTATGAAACACAGTCAAAGCACAGGTTCAAGAAAAATTCACAGCAGCTAATACTTACAGGAAAAGACTAAAAATAAATAAGCAATTGAAATGTGCAGTTCAGAAAAGCTGCAAAAAAAACCAAAAACTAAACCAAAACAAGTAAATCAAACCTAAAAAAAAGAAAAAAATTAAATGTTATAACAGATATTGATAAAATATTTTCAATGTATAGTAGAGAAAAATCTATGTAATTGTATATTAAATATGATATATAATTAGCATGATACCAAGAAAAAAATGAGAAGAAATGCAAATTACCAATATCAAGAAGAAAACATGCGACATCACCATAGATTTAATGACAATTTCAAAAGATTATAATATGTTCTAAACATTTTATACCAATAAACTGGACATTTTCAGAAAATGGACATATTTCTTGAAATCACAAGTTGCCACCTAAAGGAAGAAGAAATAGAATATTGGAACATCTGGCATCTCTTAAGGAAAGTGAATCACTTATTAAAAACCTTTGCATAAAGAAAGTAAATCATGTTCATATAGCTTAATAATTAACTTTTTCCAAACATTTAAGAATTAAAATGTTTTTTTTTCCTTGTTCAAAATGTTATTGTAAATTAAAAAAATAAAATTGGGGGAGTAGCACTTTTCATCTCTTTTTAGGTGGGCTTAACCTCTTTTTCAAAACATGATATGGACATTAAATATAAAAGAATTCTATAAGCCAATACTTTTCATAAAAATATATTTCAAAATTTTTAATTTATTATTATATAATATAGGTAAAATTTTATCACCAAATGGGATTTATACCAGGAAGCTAAAATGGCCTAACATTTGAAAATCAGTAAATAGAATATTAACATAATATAAATATAATATCTAAAAGGGGAGAACACAAATAATCTTTTAAATAGATATAAAATATTTGACAAAGTCAACATCGATTCATTAGAAAATTGCTTAGCAAATTTTGAATAGAAGGGAACTTTCTCAATCTGATGAAGACTAGCTCCTTTAAGCAAGGCAAGGTGGCTCACGCCTGTAATTTCAACACTTTGGGAGGCAGAGGCAGGCAGATCACTTGAGGCCAGGAGTTCAAGACCAGCCTGGCCAATATGGCAAAGCCCTGTCTCTACTAAAAATACAAATATCAGCCAGTCGTGGTGGCACACGCCTGTCATCCCAGCTACTGGAGAGGCTGAGGTACAAGAATCACTTGAACCCCGGAGGTAGAGGTTGCAGTGAGCATAGACCGCACCACTGCACTCCAGCCTGGGAGACAGAGTGAGATGCTGTAAAAAAAAAAAAAAAAAAAAAGACTATCTCATTTAATAATGATATTGAAAATATTTCTTCTTAGAATGGAAATGAGACAATTATGTTGCTGTCATATCTTTGACTCCACATCACACTGGAAGTCCTTGCCAGTGTAATAAGGCAAGGACAAAAAATGTCAGCCATGAGTATTGGAAAGAAATAAAATTAAAGTGTCATAAATCTTATAATATTTTCCCCTTGTCATTTTCATTTTCTCTTAAATAATATATATCATTTAGTAATTATTGTAAAAGAACAACCTTATCTATTACTTCTATTATTTTTCTCTCTAAGCACATTATTTTCTGGTTTTATCTATATTAATTTATTTATTCTGCTATTGTCTTGATTATTTTTTGTTCTTTGACATTTTTGAGCAACATGCTGAATTTATGTATTTGAAATGTTTTATATTATCAGATTTAATATTTATGGCTAATAATTTTGACTACTTCTTCAGTGTTAGTTCACAGATTTAATATTTACTTTGTTAACTTTTTCTAAAAACTGTTAAAGTTTTGTTTGTATTTTTCCTTTGACAAAGGGCTATTTTATAAACAGTTTTCGACGTTATTGCTGTATCGTAACGAAAGGTGAAAGCAACCTTTTAGGGATTTGTTATTGCTTTCTTATTTGCAGTCTTAGCAAGGAATAGTGCCAGTATTTTTTCATTTATGAAACACAATATTTTCTTTGTAGACAAATACATCTTCAATTTTTGCATATTTTTCCATTGGTTTAGGAAAAGAATATGTGCTTCTATTATTAAGGTGTACCATCATTTGGTTAATTTTGTATGTAGTTGCATTATTTTATAGTATTTTTAATAGGTGTTATTAACCAACGCAGACTGATAAAGTCTGTTATTCCTAGCCTGTTTTTATATGCCCTCTAATTTCTACCATATCAAAGTAGCTTCCTTGTTTATTATATATGTAGAGATATTTATGTCTCATGCCTTCTTATTTAATTGTAGACATTAATTTAATAACATGCATTTGTTTTCTTAATTCTACCTTAATGGATAACAAAATCACAGTATATTTTTTATTTCTTTTTATATTTGCCTAGAACATGTTCATAATTTTATTTTTAATATTTCTAAATCACTTTTCTGTTATGCTTCTGGTGAACAGTATGGAGTTAAAATTACAATCAAATTTGAACAATACTCCTTTAACAGGTGACCTAAGCTTATTTTCATTTTTTGTTATGATAAATATGTTTGGTCTTAGTTCTGATATATATGTATATATGTGTTCATGTGTGTTTACACCTACACGTTTGCACACACATACCCATAAACACATACATCAATGTATATAATTTAGTTTTCACTATTTTAGCTTCTTGGTTACTATTTTTATTTTGAAATTCGTTCTAGCGATTACCAACATATGTATATATAATATAATACATCATTTGCCCCTTTTGTTAGACAATATATATTGGGTACATGTTATGAATAACAACAAAATTAGCTTGTAACTTCTTCCCTCCAACAGTCAATTGTTGTCAACCATATTATCATCCTTGGTGCTTGCCTTTGTATTTGTAAATATGTTTTTACTTACAACAGTAATTTGCTATCTTTATCCTTTTACAAGTCTTTAAATTTATTCTAGTTTCTAATAGCCTCTCTCTCCTCTCATCTATACATAGACTGATTATAAAAAATCTAAGGTTAGTCTCTTGCAGACTTTTTTTTTCTCTTGGTCCCAAATGTGGTTGGAAACATTTAAAAGAATAAGAAATTGGAACAGTTCATCTGGCACAACCTGACAACTACAGTTTAAAGCTGCACATTTGATGGGGTTCTTTGATGAACATGGAACAAAACTGTCTTTTTAAAGTCTCCAGCCTCTCTGACAGCTAATATGGATGAGAAAGCCAACAAAAGTGGTAAAATACATTCTGATACCTGAAAATAATTCACATCAAGTTTCATTTTACATAATCGAACTATTGTTTTTACTGTTTCTGATTGCTAAATACTTGCAAAGCCAGTTCCATATTTGCTAAGGTTGTAAAGGTCTACCATCTATTTGCAAGGACTCTAATTCAAGCACTCAAGTCCTAAGGTCTATGCCTGCAGCTTTAACTTTATAAAAAGTTTCTGTACAGAGCCATCATAAGCTGCAACTAATCCAACGCGGTAAAAAAAAAAAAAAAAAATCTCATGCAACAATTTCTTAACAAATTCTAAAGCTTCCTTACTATATTTTAACTGCAAGTATTTTGCTTCCCAAAGGAGTCTCTGAGTCAATTATTGAAGTTCTTAATCTTTGCACCAAAAGTTGATAATATGTCCTTTGTAAATAACCAATTAAATAAATGAAATTAGGCAAATGGAGGCAAAAATATTTTATGCAGTGCTAATGATGTGAATATGAAAAACATAGCTTACTGTGAAAGCCAAATAGCTTTTGTAGCTTTCTCCCGAATTAAATTATCTCACTAGTCAGAGACAGTGCTGGGAAACTACAAACTTTTCTAATATACATTTGTACTCCTAAAATCATGAAAAAACCATAGTTTGCTAGTATTTTGCAGGTAGGCAGAGTCCCAGGGAAAGGATACTAAACCAAACATGATTGTCAGCATCCGCAAAGCTCACCAATCATGTAGCTTATTCTTTCCCCAAGCAATGGAGGATTGAGAGAATGGGGCAAGAAGTGAAGAATATAGTGTATATCTTTCAACATTGAAACAAATTATTAAAATACCTATCTCTTCATAATATTTGCCAACTCCTCTCATCTACCTTTGCTTCTTGTCTCTCATTTTGTCCTTCTTAATTCACTTTTTCTTCCTAAAAACATTCTTTGTGAGTATATTTAATGTGGTTGATGAAGAATACTCTCAGCATTTTTTGCCTGAAGTATTTATTTTTCCCTCACTTTTGAACAGCATTTTATCGGTATATAGAATTCTAGATTGACACATTTTTTTTCTCAGCACATTGTTATTACAAAATCATTTATTTTTTTCTTCTACTTTTATTTTAGGTTCGGGGATATATGTGCAGGTTTCTTATATGGGTAAATTGCATGTCACTGAGGCTTGATGTATGAATGATCCTGTCACCAAGGTAGAGAGCATAGTACCAACAGGTAGGATTCCAAGGCATGCCCCCCTTGCACACTCCCCCTTCAAGCAGACAACAGTGCCTCTTGTTCCTATCTATGTGCCCATGTATATTCAATGCTTAACTCCCACTTATAAGTGAGGACATGAAGTATTTGGTTTTATTTGGTTTTTCTGTTCCTGTATTAGTTCACTTAAGATAATGGCCTCCAGGTCCATCAATGTTGTTGTAAAGAACATGATTTCATTCTTTGTATGGCTACATAGTATTCTATGATGTATATGTACCACATTTTCTTTGTCCAGTCCACCACTAATGGGCATCTTGGTTGATTCCATGTGTTTGCTATTGTGAATAGTTCTGTGACGAACATAGGGTGCATGTGCCTTTTTGGTAGAACTGTTTATTTTGCTTTGGATACATACCCAATAATGGGATTGCTGGGTCAATCGCATTAAGTTCTTTGAGAAATCTCTGGGGTGTTTTCCACAATGGCTGAATTAATGTACATTCCCATCAGCAGTGTGTAAATGTTCTCTTTTCTCTGAAGCATCACCAGCAATTGCTTTTTGACTTTTTAGCAATAGGCGTTCTGACTAGTGTGAGATGGTATCTCACTGTGGCTTTGATGTGTATTTGTCTAATGATTAGTGACCATGAGCACTTCCTCATATTTTTGGGCTGCATGCATGCCTTCTTTGAGAAGTTATTGTCCATGTTCTTTGCCCATTTTTGATAGGGTTATTTGTTTCTTGTTGATTTTTAAAAATTTCCTTATAGATTCTGGATATTAGACAGTTGTTGGATGCATAGTTTGTAAATACTTCCTCCCATTCTGTAGGTTGCTTGTTTACTTTGTTAGTAGTTTCTTTTGCCATGCCGAAGCTCTTAAATTAATTAGTACCTAGTTATCAATTTGTGTGTTTGTTGCAATTGCTTTTGGGGACTTAGTCATAAATTATTTCCAAGGCCAATGTTCACAATGGTATTTCCTAGGTTTTCTTCTATGGTTTGTATTGGTTTTGGCCTTATACTTAAGTCTCTAATGCATCTTGAGTTAATTTTTGTATATGGTTAATGGAAGGAGTCCAGTTTCAGTCTTCTGCACATGGCTAGCCAATTGTCCCAGCATTGTTTATTAAATGGGGAGTTCTTTCTCCATTGCTTGTTATTGTCAACTTTGCAAAGATCAGTTGGCTGTAGGTGGATGTCATTATTTCTGTGTTCTCCATCCTTTTCCATTGGGCTATGTGTCTATTTTTGTACCCATGCCACATGCCATTTTGGAAACTGTAGCCATTTAGTATATTTTGAAGTTGGGTAGTGTGATTCCTCTGACTTTGTTCTTTTTGCTTTGGATTGTGTTGGCTATTCAGGCTCTTTTTTGTTTACATAGGGATTTCAGAATAGATTTTTTCTAATTCTCTGAAGAATGTCTTTGGTATTGTGATAGAAATAGCATTGAATCTGCAGATTACTTTGAGCAGTATGGCCATTGTACCAATATTGTTCTTCTTATCCTTGAGCATGGAATGTTTTTCCATTTGTCTGTGTCATCTCTGATTTCTTTCAGCAGTGTTTTGTAATTGTTGTTGCAGAGATCTTTTACCTTCTTGGCAAGCTGTATTTCTAGGTATTTCATTCTTTTTGTAGCTATCCTAAATGATATTGTATTTTTGTTTTGGCTTTGAGCTTGGTCATTATTGCTGTATAGAAATGCTACTAACGTTTGCACATTGATTTTATATCCTGAAACTTTACTGAAGTCGGTTGTCACTTCCAGAAGCCATCTGACAGAGTCTATGAGGTTTTCTAGGCATAGGGTCATATCATCTGTAAAGAGATGATATGATAGTTGGACAGAGATAGTTGGACTTTCTCTATTCCTATTTGGATGCCTTTTGTTTCTTTCTCTTGCCTGATTATTCTGGCAAGAACTTCCAGTACTATGCTAAATAGCAGTGGTGAGAGTAGGTATCCTTGTTTTGTTCCAGTTCTCAAAGGGAATGCTTGCAGATTTTGCTCATTCAGCAGGATGTTGGCTGTGGATTTGTCATTGATGGCTCTTATTATTTTGAGGTATGTTCCTTCACTCCTCATTTGTTGAGGGCTTTTAACATGAATGGGTGTTGAATTTTATTGAAGATCTTTTCTGTGTTTATTGAGATGATCAGATGGTCTTTGTTGTTAATTCTGGTTGTATGGTGAATTACATTTATTGATTTGAGTAAGGTAAAACAACCTTGCATCCTAGAGGTAAAGTCTACTTGAAAATGGTGAATTAACTTTTTGATATGCTACTGGATTCAGTTTCCTAGTATTTTATTGAAGAATTTTGTGTCTATGTTTATCAGGGATATTGGCCTGAAATTTAGTTGTTGCTGTGTCTCTGGCAGGCTTTTGTATCAGAAAGATCCTGGCTTCATAGAATAAATTAGGAAGGAGTCCCTCCTCCTCATTTTTTTTTGGAATAGTTTCAGAAGGCATGGTACCAGCTCTTTGTACATCTGGTAGAATTTGGGTGTGAATCCATCTGGTCCTAGGCTTTTTTTGGTTGGTAGGATATTTATTACTGATTAAATTTTGGAACTCATTATTGGTCTGTTCAGGGTTTAAATTTGTTCCTAGTGCAGTCTTGGGGGGCTGTGTGTCTCCAGGAATTTATCAGTTTCTTCTAGGATTTCTAGTTTATGTGCTTAGAGGTGTTCATAATAGTCTCTGAGGATTTTTTTGTGTTCCTGTGGGGTTGGTTGTAATGTCATCTTTGTCTTTTCTGATTGTGTTTATTTGGATCTTCTCTTTTTCTTTATATTAATCTAGCTAGTGGTTTATTAGTGTTGTTTAACCTTTTGAAGAACCACCTTTTGTTTCATTGTTCTGTTTTTGTTTTTGTTTTTTTAGATGGAGTCTCATTCTGTCGCCCAGGCTGGAGTGCAATGCAGCTCACTGCAACCTCCGCCTCCCGGGTTCAAGCGATTCTCCTGCCTCAGCCTCCTGAGTAGCTGGGATTACAGGCATGCACCACCATGCCTGGCTAATTCTTGTATTTTTAGTAGAGACGGGGTTTCACCATGTTGGGCAGCCTGGTCTCCAATGCCTGACCTCGTGATTCTCCTGCCTCGGCCTCCCAAAGTGCTGGGATTATAGGCATAAGCGACCATTCCCAGCCCTTCATTGCTCCTTTATATGAATTTTCACATCTCAATTTTGTTCAGTTCAAGTCTGAGTTTGGTTATTTCTTTTCTGCTAGGTTTAGAGTTTTTCTAGTTTCTTGTTTTTCTAGTTCCTCTAGGTGCAACAGTTAGTTGATAATTTGAAATCTTCCTAAATTCTTGATGTAGGCATTTAGTGTCATAAACTTTCCTCTTAATATTGCTCTAGCTGTGTTCCAGAGATTGTGCTATGTTGTGTCGCTGTTTTCATTATTTTCAAAGAATTTTTAAAATTTCCTTAATTTCATTATTTCCTCAAAAGTCATTTAGGAGCAGATTGTTTAACTTCCATGTAATTGTGTGGTTTAAACGGATCTTTTTAGTATTGATTTCTATAATATTTTGTGTGTGTGCTGTATTCTCAGAGTATAAATGATATGATTTCTTTTCATTTTTAATTTGTTGAGACTTGCTTTATGGCTGAGCCTGTGATTGATCATAGAGTATATGCTGTGTGCAGATGAGAAGAATGTATATTATGTGGTTGATTGGTGGAATATTCTGCAGATTTGTATTAGGTCTAATTGGTTATTGGTGGAATATTCTGCAGTTTTCTATTAGGTCTAATTGGTTATTCACCAAATTTATATCCAGAATATCTTAGTTTTTTTCTGCCTTAGTGATCTGTCTAGGACTGTCAGTGGGATGTTGAAGTCCCCCAGTATTATTGTATTGTTATCTAAATCTCTTAATAGATCTCTAAGGAATAGATTTGTGAATCTGGGTGCTCTAATGCTGGGTGCATATATATTTGGGAGAGTTAAGTCTTCTTATTGGATTGAATCATTTACTATTATGTAATGCTCTTCTTTGCCCTTTTTGATCATTGTTGGCTTAAAGTCTGCTTTATCTGATGTAAGATATACCCTTGCTCTTCTTTGTTTTCCATTTGATTAAAAGATTTTCTCTATACCTGTCCTTTGAGCCTATGGGTATTGTTGGTTGTGAGATGGGTCTCTTGCAGACACCAGGCAGTTGGGTCTTGCTTCTTTATTTAACTAGGCACTCTATGTCTCTTAAGTGGCATGTGTAGTCCATTTACATTCAGAGTGAATATTGATATGTGAGGAATTGCTCCTATCATTATGATATTAGCTGGTTGTTATGTAGACTTAATTGTATAGTTGCTTTATAGTGTCAATGGGACATAGGCCTAAGTAGGATTTTGTGGTGGCAGTTATTGTTCTTTCATTTCCATATTTAGCACTGTCTTTAGGAGATTTTGTAAGGCAGGTTTAGTGGTAATGAATTCCTTAGCATTTGCTTGTCTGAAAATGATTTAATTTTTCCTTCTCTTATGAGACTTAGGTTGGGGGGATATAAAATTATCGGTTGGAATTTCTTTTCTATGAGGATATTAAAAATAGGCCTTAAATCTCTTCTGGCCTGTAAGGTTTCTGCTGAAAGTTCGGCTGTTCGCCTGATGTGGTTCCCTTTGTAGATGACCTGCCCCTTCTCTCTTGCTGCCTTTAAGATTTTTGTCTTTCATGTTGACCTTGGAAAATCTGAAGACTCTATGTCTTGGGGATGGACATCTTATTTAATACATATTATCTCACATACATAGTTCTCTGAGTTTTTTGAATTTGCATGTTGACTTCTAGAAATTGGGAAAAAATATGTGGAATATATGTTTTCCAAGTTGCTTGCTCTGTCTCCTTCTCTTTCTGAAATGCCAATAAGGTTTGGTCTCTACATAATCCCATTTATTTCTCAGAAGTTTTGTTCATTATTTAAAATTCTTTTATCTTTATTTTTGCTTTTCTGTGTTGCTTCAAAGGAGCAGTTTTCAAACTCGAGATTCTTTCTTTAGCTTAGTCTATGTGCTCCTATGCAGAAGTGTCCCCTGCCCAAGTGCCCCTACACCAGAGCACCTCTTGCTTTCAGCAACCCTGATGGAGTGCCTCCCATATGCCGTGCCACTGCTGCCCCTGCTGGAGGATCTCTTGCCCATGGTGCCCCCATTGGAGCAACTCCTGCTTGTGACACCCCCCACTGGAGTGTCTCCTCCCTGTGGGGTACCCATTCTTCCCACCAGAACACTTACACCCATGCCTCTACTGCCTTATCCTAAGGAGTGCAGTTGCCAGTGATCTGGGAGAAACTCAGCCCCTCCAGCACAAATGGGGCTTGACTTTGAGAAGCTAGAGGACAAAGCTGTGGACTTAGACCAGCCTCCTATGGTTAGAACATACAGCCCAGGAGTGTGGGGCTGATCCTTGCCCTCTAAAGGCACTCGGGAATGAAGCCACTCAACTGTACCAAACTTATGCCACAGTCAAACCCTCATAGGCAATAAAAATGATAGAAACAAAAAGCCCCGTTCAAAGGACAACAACTTCAAAGGGTAAAGGAACATTCACTCTCCCAGATGAGAAATAATTAACAGAAGAACTCTGGCAACTCAAAAACCCAGAGTGTCTTCTTACCTAGAACTGATCATGCTAGCTCTGCTGCAATTAATTCTAATCATATTTAAATGGCCAAAATGTCAGACATAGAATTAAGAATCTGGATGGTAAGAAACTCACCACAATACAAGAGAAGGTTGAAACCCAATACAAGAAAAATAGTAAAACAATCCAAGGGTTAAAAGATGACATACCCATTTAAAGAAAGAACCAAACTGAACTGAAAATAAAAAATTCACTACTGAAATTTTGAAATAATCTTAAGGTATCTATTGTTGTATAAAGACACTTTCTACTATGATTGTTACTCTACAGAAGTACTTTGAACTTTTTCCTAGTATTTTTAAAGATCTTCTTTATGCTTAATGTTCTACAGTTTTATTACAAAGACTTTGCTTGTCTAAATTTATCATAAGTCTCATGATTTGCAAATATGAAGACTCGCAGCTTCATCAATGCTAATTTATTATCTTTGGCTATTATCTCATTTCATTTTTTAATATTCTTTACTTTATCACAAATGCTCTTAGGTCTATATGGCATGTTTATTCTATGTCTTTTTACATTCATGTTTCCTCATGTCTTTTATCTTTGGATGTTTAACTGAAGATTTTCTTCATGTTACTTTCCAATTTGTTAATCCTATGTTTGGCTAGTCAGTGTAGACTTTCATGCCCATTGACTTTTTAATTTTTATTACAACACTTTTTTACATATGGGCTTAATTTTTTAAAGTATCTTCTTCTTTTTTTCAGAGCATCTTGCTTTTTACGATGCTTTCTATTTTTTATCATTTAAAATGAAACAAATTATATGGTCTTTATATTCTTCTACCTAGAGTTTGGGATGTACTAATTTTCCAGGTTATATGTATTGATGGTGGATTGCCATTTCATGTAGTTTATATTTTGAGTATGAATTTATTTTCAGCAAAATTGTTTTCTTTTTCTAGTGGAAGTTCAATGCATTCTGGTTATCACTGAACAGTCTGGTAGAAGAATCATTACTATCAGACGGTTCTCAGTTCAGTATCGAATGGTACACTAGTGATATGAAGAAGTAGAGCTCACAGGAGTCCACTTTGGCGATAGTGGCAGACATTCAGTTTCCAGACACATTGGTGACAGTTATTCCAGATGTAGATCAGATTCCAATCTCAGAAGTGGTAGGGGAAGAGAGTGGTAAAATTAATGTGTGCCCAGAAGCAGTGTCAGTGCTGCCTAGCTGAACATTTTTCAAGCCAATTGCTTGCTGCTTGGTTCTGCTTAAATTTCCCAGACAATTTTCTTTTTTTTCACTTCTGTTAAGAATCCTAGCATGTCCTTCGCCCACTTTTTGATGGGGTTGTTTGTTTTTTTCTTGTAAATTTGTTTGAGTTCATTGTAGATTCTGGATATTAGCCCTTTGTCAGATGAGTAGGTTGCGAAAATTTTCTCCCATTTTGTAGGTTGCCTGTTCACTCTGATGGTAGTTTCTTTTGCCGTGCAGAAGCTCTTTAGTTTAATTAGATCCCATTTGTCAATTTTGGCTTTTGTTGCCATTGCTTTTGGTGTTTTAGACATGAAGTCCTTGCCCATGCCTATGTCCTGAATGGTAATGCCTAGGTTTTCTTCTAGGGTTTTTATGGTTTTAGATCGAACATTTAAGTGTTTAATCCATCTTGAATTGATACACTTCTCAAAAGAAGACATTTATGCAGCCAAAAAACACATGAAAAAATGCTCATCATCACTGGCCATCAGAGAAATGCAAATCAAAACCACAATGAGATACCATCTCACACCAGTTAGAATGGCAATCATTAAAAAGTCAGGAAACAACAGGTGCTGGAGAGGATGTGGAGAAATAGGAACACTTTTACACTGTTGGTGGGACTGTAAACTAGTTCAACCATTGTGGAAGTCAGTGTGGCGATTCCTCAGGGATCTAGAACTAGAAATACCATTTGACCCAGCCATCCCATTACTGGGTATATACCCAAATGACTATAAATCATGCTGCTATAAAGACACATGCACACGTATGTTTATTGCGGCATTATTCACAATAGCAAAGACTTGGAACCAACCCAAATGTCCAACAATAATAGACTGGATTAAGAAAATGTGGCACATATACACCATGGAATACTATGCAGCCATAAAAAATGATGAGTTCGTGTCCTTTGTAGGGACACGGATGAAATTGGAAATCATCATTCTCAGTAAACTATCGCAAGAACAAAAAACCAAACACCGCATATTCTCACTCATAGGTGGGAATTGAACAATGAGATCACATGGACACAGGAAGGGGAATATCACACTCTGGGGACTGTGGTGGGGTGGGGGGAGGGGGGAGGGATAGCATTGGGAGATATACCTAATGCTGGATGACGAGTTAGTGGGTGCAGCACACCAGCATGGCACATGTATACATATGTAACTAACCTGCACAATGTGCACATGTACCCTAAAACTTAAAGTATAAAAAAAAAAAAAGAATCCTAGCAAATGCAAGATGTTTTCTGTTTACTACTCCACTTATCAATACATGTAACAGCATTTATTTTACTGTGAAATTTATTTTCTTAATTTTAACATTAGATAAATTTTATGGCTTAGATTTAGGAGCCGGGTTAACAAAACTACAATTTTGTTTTCATATGATGTTTTATTTGAAACTATGTGAGTTACAGGTAAGAATAGTACAAATATACTCTAATTGGTGAACCTATTTTCTTGAAAAGAAATATTCACTCACTTCACCATTTATACTGGCTGCATGATATTCCATTGTTAAAATATATCAAAGCTTGTTCTATACCTAAATAGAAGGCAATTATGTATTGTCCAATCTTTTGCTATTAAAAGCAACTCATGATAGCCTAGTAAACAAATATGTTTAGGTTCTGAAAATCCTTATAATGGGATATTACATAATCAGTTAAAATTATATTTATGAATAATTTTTGTAACCTAAAAAAGAAGCACATTATAAAATAATGCACACAGTTTGAAATAAATGTGTGAAGAAAAATTCCAAAGTAAGTATATTTCTTAAAGAACTGTAGTTACTTGGCATGAGTGATTTTTCATTGTTATAATGTTTATTCTGATACTCTACAATTAATATGTGATTATTTAATGAATTTTTAAAGTTGAATTCTGAATAATTCTTATTTTTTGCATGAAGGTGTTTGTATTCTAATTTTACTATGTGTATCATTCCGTTTTCGTGCTGCTGTGAAAAAAACACTGGAGACTGGGCAATTTATAAAGACAAAGAGGTTTAATGGACTGAAAGTTCCACAAGGCTGGTGAGCCCTTTCAATCATGGTGGAAAGAGCAGGAGGAGCAAAGGCATGTCTTACATGGCAGCAGGCAAGAGAGCATGTGCAGAGGAACTGCATCTTATAAAACCATCAGATCTCATGAGACTTATTCACTATTATGAGAACAGCATGGGAAAAATCCACCCCATGATTCAGTTACCTTTCACCGGGTCCCTCCCATGACACATGCGTATTATGGGAGCTACAATTCAAGATGAGATTTGGGTAGGGGCACAGCCAAACCATATCACTATGGGATTGATTTATAGAAATAGGATTACTGTATTAAAAGCATAAAGTTATCCTTAAATGATAACCTGTATATTCAGTCCAATTCGATTATTTCAAGTTTTTAGGATTATACTGAATTAAGTATATTTCTAGAGTTTGGATATCTTAACTGCACAGGAATAGAATGATCCAACTCCACGATAGAAATTAAGATAAAACATCTACTTTAAATAGTACTTATTGGAGAAATATTTCCAATGAAGACAAACTAGTAGGCTATACCAAAGCAGGAGAAGGCTGGATTCTGAGATGCTTATTTTGGTGTTTTCTTTCAGCATTTTGTTTTCACATTTTATTGGTAAAGAAACTCTGTATATTTAAACATTTTTGAAAGAAGCCATTCTACAAGAAGTAATGGAATATTCTAGAAAGGAAAGAAAACTAAGATAGTAGCTAGAAAATTTTTGAGAAAAGAAGCAAAGACCACAGGTTTAGAAAATATATTTAATATCAGGATTCTAGTTAAAAAAATTTTTGCAATGATTGTGTTAAAAAGATTAAATTTCATCTAATGATCTGGTTTAAAAACAATTTTAGGTTATTCACTACTTATACTTTTTAACATTAATTCCGTATTTTAGCTGTCACTTTGCTGGATTTCTTGGAGGTATTATCACAAATGCAATAAACAGTCATTAGCATAACAACATGTCAATATCTTCATTAATGTGAATGTATTGGCAATCTATTGTGGATATGCAATATACTATGAAAGACTTAAACAAAAATTAGAAATAAAGAATTTAGATTCATGTCTTTGGTTTTGTACAGCAGATTTTGTACCTTACTTCATTTGAATCCATGAAAGCATAATATCAACTTGCAAAAGATTTTGCACATCTGTTAAAATACAACTGGTCTATGCTGTCCACCAGCAGTGAAGTGCAAAGGATTCCACCACAGACTCCATTTCCAGATTGTTAATTCCCTTCCAGATGGTACTGCAGAAGGCTGCATGGAGTGTATGACTTTTTTAGCCAATTCAAGAAAAATTCTATTCCAAGAAGAAAATCTCTATTCTAAGTAGTGACATGTAATATAGACATCTTAGGTTGAGCACTTTCTCACCCAGTAGTTGAACATATATAGCAGTTCATAGTTAGCAGACGTGTTCATTACCTAGTGAACTATTAATCAATGGTATATTCTTTCTCAAGGAAAGAAAGGCAGGGTAAGCCCCTTACATTCATCAGCAATGTTACATATATGGAACATAAAGTGTATTTTTAAACCAATTAATTCTTTTCTTTTCTTTTTTTTTTTTTTTTTTTGAGATACAGTCTTGCTGTGTCACCCAGGCTAGAATGCAGTGGTGCAATCATAGCTCACTGCAGCCTTCAACTCCTGGGTCTAAGCAATCCACCCAACATGGCCTCCCAAGGTGGTGAGATTATAGGTACCCAACACCATGGCCAGCCTCAAATAATTTTATAATCTATTATAATTTTTTCATCATTTTGTTATCTTTCCAAATATATGAAACATAACAAGAAACCTATACGGATAACAATATGCAAATACAATCTAGACATGTTCATATAAATTAAGTTCTAGTCTTTTGTGTTATCGATTTTTGATATAGAGAAAAGAAAGAGTCATTTTTCAATAGAAGGGAAGTCCAGAAGGAGATTCTAAAAGAAGAAAAGTTATCATTTATGTTATAAAGCATACACAAATAAAATATGAAAGGGAGTAGAACACTATGCATGACTGTTTGCTCTCCAGTGATTGCTTTCCTGTCATCAAGTATTTCTACCCTAAGAAGGTGCATACCTGATTTTGGAGGGCAATAACTTAAAGTAAATGTAAAGAAAATACAAATTTTACATATTAATACTTAGCACTTTTCATTATGTAAAGATGTAGCTTAAGGATCACTCTCTGCCAGTCTCAAACACGTATAAAATCAGTAAATATTTATTAAAAAATAGATTCTAAAAAAATAAGTTTGGTGCAATATTAAAAATAATCTACTATAAAATTAAAGTGTTACATTTGTGGGTTTTACACAAAAATATCCAAAGAAATGTTAATCTGCAAGTTTGTCTTATGTCTCCATAATCTCATGCCCAATGTATGGATTCAGCCAACCTATGGGGGAAACTATGTAATACATATCTCATTCAATTGTTTAATCTTCTGGTGTTACCCATTGTTCAAAGGAAAGGGCGGCAAGAAGACAAGAAAGTCCATCAATGGAGGACAAGTTATCTGAAGATGCATTGATAAAGTTAGAGAAGAGGCACAGAGAAACAGAGTGAACAATGTGGGTAACTTTTTGGGGTTGGAACGAAAAATCAATAACAGTTTCTAGTTGTTCTAGGTTCATTTTGTATATTTTTATTCAAAGAAAACACCAATTTCATATGAGCACCAGTGAGCACTTTATCAACCTTTAGGATTGTATTAATCGGTTCCCACATTGCTATAAAGAACTACCTGAGACTGGATAACTTATGAATAAAAGAGGTTTAACTGACTCACAGTTCTGCAGGTTGTACAGGAAGCATGGCTGGGGAGGCCTCAGAAAGTTACAATCATGGCAGAAGGCAAAGGGGAAGCAGGCACATTTTCACAAGGGTGGAAGAGACAGAGAACAAAGGGGGAAGTGCTACACACTTTTAAACAAGCAGATCTCATGAGAACTCAGTCACTAGGACAAGAACAGCAAGGGGAAATCACACCATGATTCAGTCACTTCCCACCAGATCCCTCTCCCAACATTGAGGATTACAATTCAAGATGAGGTTTCTGTGGAGACACAGAGCCAAACCATATCAGAATCATTTGACTTGACTGTCAACTCCAGAATACAGAAAAGGACAGAGAGAAAACAAAGGTCTTGAGTGTAAAGGTAGTTTGTATAATCTGAGGAGGAGGAGTTTATATGGAGCAAGGCATTATCCTCTAAATAAGGGGTTAGCAAACTTTTGCTGTAAAGAGTCATATAGTAAATACTTAAGGCTCTGTGGGCCACACCCTCTCTGTCACAGCTACACATTTCTACCATTGTTGCCAAAAAGCAACCATAGGAAATAAACGAACAAGTGAGCGTGACTTTGTGTCGATAAAACTTTATTTATTGAAAAATGCCATCTAATTTTTATATGCCATAAAATCATAGTTTTATTTTTGTTTCCGACCATTAAAAAATTTATTTTAGAAGTGGGGTCTCATGATTTTTTCCAGGCTGGCCTCCAACTCTGGGGCTTAAAAGAACCTCTCACCTCAGCTTCCCAAATAGCTGAGACAACAGACCTGCACCACCAACGATGGCCAAAACTTTTTGAAATGCAAAAAGCATTTTGACCTAGTGAACAGTACAAAAATCAAGTGGCAGGCGAGATTTGCCAATCGACCTGTACTTTGCTGATGCTTGCTTTAAAGTAGTGGTCTCCAAAGTCAGGTATGCACCTTCTTAAGGTAGCAATACATGATGACAGGAAGTCCATCACTGGAGAGCAAACAGTCAAGCAATAGTGTTCTACTCTCTTTCATATTTTATTTGTGTATGTTCTATAATATAGATATGTGTTTAATATTGTAATAGATGATAAATAAGTTTATAAAATGTACTCCAAATTTCATTTTAGCTGATAGAGATCACAATCCAAACATCTGGTGACTAATTTCCTAATATAGCTTCTCAACTATTGGTATAAGTAATACATGTAGGACCCAGAAGTATGCTCAATGAAATACAAAGTTCTTTTGCGTGTGTGTGTGTGTGTGTTTTTTTTTTTTTTTTTTTTTGAGATGGAGTCTTGCTCTGTCCCCCAGGCTGGAGTGCAGTGGCACTATCTCAGTTCACTGTAACCTCCCACTCCCAGGTTCAAGCAATTCTCATGCCTCAGTCTCCTGAGTAGCTGGGATTACAGGCATGTGCCATCACACCTGGCTAATTTTTGTATTTTTAGTAGAGATGGTGTTTCGCCATTTTGGCCAGGCTTGTCTTGAACTCCTGACCTCAAGCGATCTGCCCGCCTTGGACCCACAAAGTGCTGGGATTGCAGGCGTGAGTCACCACATCTGGACCAAAGTTTTCATAAGAATGACCAAGAACCACTGCTTTCTCAATCTCCAGATAAGTTGCAAGTGTGATATATCATTTTGGGTCTACCCTTTATATTGCAGATTCTCTGTATCTAATATTTGACATTGCAGCACATCATTCAGTGTTTTTCTTCATCCTTCAACTACAGAAGTGTTTTAATATGTCTCTTCCTATCAACCCTGTTTGCCGGAGATTATCCACTGTGCTTCTCCCTTATCCCTTCTCCAGTCCCAAGCTGAGTGGAAGAAAGCACAGCCCTAACATACGCAAATGTTTAAGAAATCCAGGAAGAGCAGACCTCCTTGCACCAAATGGCTTAGGCGGATAAGTTGCTGAAGGTTCTCTTTTATTTGGCTCAATTTTATCACTGAAATATACATCTGAAAATGAGATTGGGAGAGGTGTTGGAGATTTAAGTAGAGAGGATTCCCTTTGGAAGGACATAGAAATCTCCCCGAGTACCTTTTTAAAATCTGAGTCATTCCTCATGGGGCTTCTGCAGGACCATCCCGGCTAGATTCTGTTCTCATCATCATTTTGCCACTGGTACAAGGTAAAAATATCTCTTTTTAAGAAAAATTACATCAGCAATGCTGTTAGACTTAGCTTACGTACATCGATTCTATTTTTTCATTGAATAAAGTATACAATATGAAAAAAATCACTTTATTCCTTTTCAGCATGTGGATTTTAACTGTGCACGTACATCACGAGTCACACTTACCTTCAGTGAAAGAAAGACTCATAATCTTGATTAGATATTCACAGATTTTATCTTCCTTCTTTCCCTGTACACATTTTCTAAGGCTATCAGAAAATCAACTCCTGCCATAATGCAACCCTTTCACTCCTACATCATTACTTTTTCTTTCTATTCAGTTGTATCATTCCTATCAAGTTAAAAGAATTGTTTACACATGCACACACACACCAGGTACATTTATTTATGCAAATTAAAAGTGGTTTTCAATTAATTTTTGAGAGGGAAATTAAATCCAATTTGTAAAGTAAGAACAAATTTACTAAATTATTTTGTGTTTCAGTATTCATTAAAGTATATTTACTACAATTAATTTTTAGCATAAATCATGATCAAAAGTTCTATGCCATGAAGACTACTCCACGATTTTATTTTTATGATAAATCCAGTATCCTTGCTTTTATTGTATTATATGAAATATAATAATATAAAGACTTTCTTTTATCTTGCCATTCCATGAGTTGTATCTAACTGTACAAGTGTGTGAGTTTTGATATGTTTGCCCTTCTCTTGGTCTATATTAACATAGTTTAAGTAATACAATATAAAATTTCTCATGCAAATATTCCTCACATTTGGGAAGAGCAGAAATGAGAAAGGAAGGAAGGAAGGAAGGAGGCAGGCAAGCAGGGAGGGAAAGAGCGAGGGAAGGAGGGAGGAAGAAAGGAAGAAAGCAAAGAGGAAAGAAAGGAGAGAGAGAGGAAGGAAGGAGACAAAGGTTAATGCTGCAATAATTGACTATCTATTAATAATTACATTATTTTCCTCCAGGCCTGAAGTCTAGCCAAGCCCATAGCAGTGACTATTTGTCACTGCTGCTTAAATTTATGAAAGTTGAGAGCAATGGCTTGGTAATTTGGAATTCACCTGCTGAGCTCATCTAGTCTCTATTTGGAACTTTGCAATGTCCTGCATTACACATGCATACACTGCACCGTCATTTACAGATGCAATGAGAGAAAACCTGATAAGATGAGTCTTTGGGAGAAGAAAAGGCATAACAAATACAAAAATTAAAACACTCGGGAATAAGGTAAATACTGAGAGTAAGAACTGGCAATGAGACAAATATTGGATTAAGACAAATACTGCTGCAGATTCCAATGTCAATTCTAACGGTGCTGGTAAAGATTGGATTGTGTTGACAGTTGAAGATGAGCAGCTAAAGCAGAAAGTAAGAAAAAAAATCTTCTAGGCCCGAATCCTATGTCATTGAATGTTTTTTACTCAGGTAACAACTTATTAAATCATAAAAATAAATTTAAGCACAGGTAGTTGTACTCTTAAAAAAAGAATCAAGATTAATAAATTAATGCAATTAATTTAAATTGACAGACAATAGTAATATATGAAAGTCATTTGAGCCCCTGAAATATTTCTTTTTTTAGTTATTGGAAGATAAATTATGCACAAATATACCTATAAAGAATGTTAATTATAAAATGTAGGTATTAAGAGCACGATGAACATTTTGCTTAGATAATATCACTACCAAATCTCTAAGCTCATATTACTCATTTTATTATCCTAACATATTTTAATTTGTTCAGGTATAATGCCATGATTATTCACGTTCATCTGAGAACCTTTTTCATTGGAAGAAATAAGAGAAGTAAATTAGTGTAGCAGTCAAAGCCTGGACTCTGAAATCAAATTGAGTTTAAATGCAGACTCTGCCCCCTCTTAGGTATGAATTCTTGGACCACTTAAGTAAACTCAAAGGAGGGAGTCCCTGGATCCCTGGCTTTCATATCACCTTTCTCAGATGTGATGCAGAAAAGGAGAAGAGAAGTGGGGCCTGAAAGCTATCAGCAGTCAAACATCAAAAATGAAATCAGACTCTTCATTATTCTGAGTACTTTTAAGAATTAAATGAGGGTTTTGTTTGTTTTCTAATGCCCAACACTCAGAAAAGCCTCAATAAATCTTACCTAGCATATCTTATCAAAGATGTTGAATTGGAGTCTGTCTAATGTGTATGACAGTGAGGGAAGAATGAGACATAGTCATGAGCTCCAAGGTTAATTATGTTTGAGGAGAATGATAAGTGTGAGAACAAAATACTGAAGGATAACATTGAGAGGTGCACAGCTGTAACTAGGAGGTCATATAGATACCCTTATTCCTCATATTTCATAGTTTTATTCCATAGCTTCTTGGAAATTAATTCTAATTAATTATGTTATTTATACTCCTCTGCGTTGCAGTCAAGTTAATGTGTTCACAGGTAACAAATAACCTCTTATGTGAATTATGTCCTTTCACGTATAGAGTTGGGACAGTTCTTCAAAGAGAGAGCAATCAGTGGTAAAAAATTGTTATTGTTGTTAAGTGGGCAATCAGTGGTGAAAAATTCTAAACCAAAAATGGCTAGGCATGTATTTTTCTTTAAAATACTGAAAAATAGTCCAGGCATGGTAGCTCATGCTTGTAATTCTAGCACTTTGGGAGGCTGAGGTGGGAGGGTCATTTGAGTCCTGGAGTTTGAGAGCAGCCTAGGCAACACAAAGAGACTTCATCTTTACAGAAAGTAAAAAATTATGTTAAGTGTGGTGGTATGTGCCTGTAGTCCCAGGTCCTTCAGAGGCTGAGGTGGGGAATTCTCTTGAGCCTCACGGGTTGAGGTTGCAGTAAGCCATGATCACACAACTGTACTCCATTCTGGGTGATGGAGAAAGACTCAGTCTCAAAAAATTTTTAATTAAAAAAGAAATGTAGAAACAATATAGTTAAATTATATTTTGTGTCTTTGTACCATCACATATACCAATCTCTGTTTAGCAGATCTGAAACACAAAGCCATTTCTGGTATTTGTAAACCATTAAAGCACATACTTACAATGCCTATCCAGGAAAACATAAGATGATCCCAAGATAGTTTCATTCTAAAAGACCCCAAATATCTTTATGATTTCCAAACACTCACTGGTCACTAGAATCTATTTCTTGGAATCCTCTAGACTAGATAAACTGTAGAATCAAGTCAGTATTAAACTAAAGTTTCCAAGACATGTTACCTCTAGACTTTCTGCACTGGGAACCTGTATAAGCCTTGCATGCCACTCCCCACTCTTAACCCCCGGCTTCCACCTTAGTTTGTATAGATTTACCAAAAATATGCTTACAAGAAATAGGCTTGCAACAACTTGTCTTTAACTGAAATGCATTAAATATCATGTCACTGTTCCGGGAATTCAAATGGGATGTGAAGTTATATAATCATTTCTTGTATCACTATAAAAGAAACATTTCATACAATATGTCTATAGGTATCTTCAAGAGGGATCGTTCTAGGGATAAGACAATGAACAGTAGCAAATTTTAACCATCCTAGACTGTTGAGGTTTTGTATTTATTAAAGACCAAGATGGTTCATGTTTATAATTAGCATTTTTTCACATCCATGTTTCCATTCATAGCCTCAATACTAGTCTGGCACTCATACTAAAATTTTTAAATACACCTTTGCTGTGATAATAAACATTATTCACTAAAAACATCTAGGTTGAAATTTAGAGGATAATTTTAGCATTGGTTACTCAAATTGCATGGTAAATCTTTAAAAGATTTGTAAATTTTACCGTCATTGTTCCTTTAGCTCTTTTTATCTGTCTGCTACATTTTTTTCCTCTCTTTTTCTTATTTCTAGGAACATTTACTACTTGTGTTCTCTTTTGATGCTTTCTCTGTGTAATTTGTGTGTCATATTTTCTTCTCAAACTTCCAAATTGTGGCATTATTCTAAGGCTATATCCTCACTCTTGCCTATATATTTTTGGTTAGTTCATCCTCTTTTATAGTTTGACCAAAGATATTATTTCCAACATTAAAGTCTCTCCAAAAACTCAAGTACACATCATTCAGTGATCAATTGGTTAATTATTAGTGCTTTGTACTCAGTGTCCACAATTACAAATAACTTTGTTACACATGCATTCCTCTTTGGATCTTCTTATTTCATGTAATGGAACCATCATTCTCCACTCAACCAGCTTGAAATATTAATATTTTTATTCTCCCTCTATATAGAAAACGTGTCTGTTTACACTTTAAGTAGTTTGTCTTTTACAGTTACAGTACCTTTTACATCTATTCTTTTTTTACAATTTCTATTACTACTGTCCCAATTCAGTTTCCAATAGCCTTTCTAAAAGGCCATTGAAACAGCCTCCTCACTGACCTTACCTATCCAGTCTCTTTTCCTTATTGATACCACATGTGATATTAAGTTAAATAATTATAAAGAACAACTGCTTTGCTAAAAAAAAAAAAAAAAAAAAGAAATTCGCTATCAAATCATGTTGTTCCTGAATTTAAAAGCCCCAGCTTGCCTTTACAACCTGTGTCCAACAACTCATTTACATATACTAAGGGCTTCAACCAAACAATACTACGCACATTTTCCTAAAAATTCTCTGTTCTTCCCAACTCTACAGCTTCCATCTTCCTTTTCATTCTTCATAATTTCCCATTGTCTGTGACATCCCAGCCTGTCAAAATTTTCACAATCTTTGGAAGCCCAGATCAAATACAATTTTCTCAATAAAGTTTTATCCACTGCCCCTTTACGAGTTGAAGTTCTCTCTTTGTATTTTGTTTTCACAATTTCAAGTAGAAATTGTAGGGTTTCTCATTATTGTCATTTGTCTTCACCCCCTTTTTCCCCTACTAGAATGTTAGTTCTTTAAAACAGGTATTGTGATTTAGCCATCACTTGTGTTTCTTCCATGATGAAGCCAAGTAACTGTCATGAAATAGACACCCTTTAATTTTTTTTAAGAATGCATAAACACCTTTATGTTGTAATATATTAGTATTTAGGAAATTAAAACCCTTTTGTCTAATGATGGTAAAATAATTGAACAAGGTTATATAGCTTGTCACTGACAGAACTGAGTAAGAACCACAATACGAAGAGAGAAGAGAAATAAGGCACAGAGGAGAATACAGTTTCCAATCTAGTTTCCAGTGCTATAGTTAGAATTGTGTTCAGTTACAGCTGAGTAAAAATAAAACTGCATGGTAAAGCAATGACAATGTCCAAATATTTAGAAAACAGCCATAGATTAGAGATTCTTATCAAATACTTAAACCCATCTGATTAGTACTTTTATTCTTGAAAACAAAATTTGAACAGATATAAATACAGTATTTACATTTTCCTGGAAATCTCCATTGCATGGCTGCTGAAGAGAGTCAGCAATTACCCAGGGACCAATTAGCTTGTTTGTGGATTATCTACACCCTGTGGCTTCTTCTTTTTTGCTTTCCTCCTCATTTCTGCCTTTTGACCACTTCACAGTTGTTAGAAGAAGAAATTAAAGAAGTGCTAAAAAGTAGAAAACCAGAAAAAGTGAAATTAAGACTGTAAATTATTATACATGAAACAAAATTATGTTAATAGTTGGCTGAATTTTTAAAACAAAATGCCAGACATTTGAGCCAAAGGGTAATTAATTTATTACAAAAATTTTTCAAATTTGTTATCTTAATCACTCAATTGTTTCTTTTTGAAAGCTCAAAGCTTGTCCAGTAAGATGATACAGCAATAATTATTAAAATCAACCTCCTGGGGAATTATTGAATATTTCATTACTTTATGATGTCTTACATAGTCACAATTTGCGAAAGCTTATCAGAAAAACATTAATAGGATTCTATGACCATTTAGTCTGAATATTTCTAAATGTCAGTCTAGAATATTTCTGTGCGTTTATTCACTGACAGTTTCCACTGATTTGCTCCTATTCATAGAGAAGTTCCCAATGCAATTGGAAAAATCCATCTTCAACTACTAACATGCACTTTTCTATTTATGTACAGTTGGAAAGGGCCCTAAAAATCAATTTGTATCATTTTCCATTGGGGAGTTGATTCTTCATACTTGAATTTCCTTTTGGCAGAGGGGAATTTACTTGAGCACATGTTAAACATTTTTTGTCCACATTTCGTGTCCTCTGTCATTTTGGGCCAACTCAATGTTGGCAATCTCTGTGGAGTTTTCTCTTTACCCAGGAGGACTGCACTCAGGGTTTCATGAACGCGATGCAGAATTACCCCTCTCAGCTGTCCTGGGACTATTTCTTTTTCTTCTAAGAATACAATTCTATTTCTGACATATAATGATTTTCCTCTGTACTTGCCTATAGACCCAATGTCTAATAGTTTCTTATTCTTTAATTTTTCTATTACATACCTTATTTGCAGTAAATAACCCAAAATCACGAGGTAAATGGTTATTCAAACTATTGTTTTATCTCAGACTATTTAATAAAAACTTTAGCTTTTCCATTTTTACTTTCTTAGCATCATTTTTCTAGTGTCTCTGACATTTCTGCCCAAATACGAAAAGGGAATTCCTGAATCAAATTGCAAATGTATTCTAATGTATTCTGTGCACTCAATTGTATCTCAAAATCATCCAAGGAAAGGAAAACATCAGATTTCCATGCTGAGTCAGGAAACAAGAGAGTGTTTCAATCTTGGAACCATGAAATTTTGATAAGAAATATGATTGTAATTTTTCTGCATCTTTTATGAATTTGGTAAAATTTTACTTAACCTCCTTTATGCATCCTATTCAAAATAGTATTTATGCAATACTCTCACCTATTTCCTTTACTTTTAGGAAATGTCAAGGATCCATATTTTTAAATTTTTACTGTTAATGTATGGAATTCTTAAGCAAAATAGGAAAAGATCAAGTGAAAGCTGTACTTTGATGCCATTCTTTCTACATGTGGTTTTTCTTAATTTTTCATTCTGCACACTTGAATTGAGCATACAAATCACTTTTCTAGAAATAAAAGTCAAATAATTTGTTATGTGTTTAAAATGGTTCACAGCTTACAATATACTGCCAAATGTACTACATCACCTCCCAAATCCCGGTAATCCTGTGAAGAATATAGTCTGGTTATTATTATTACCTCTCATTTTACTGATTGAAAAAATGAAGCAGAAAACGAGTAACTTGTTCTGGAAGCACAATTCACGCCCCAATTTTGAACATGATTCTTACATGTTTCACTAAGCTGCCTGTGAAAATAAATGAACTAATAACAACTTTATTTGCATACAGTTTTAAAATGTATACAGGAATTTCATATGTATTCCTTTTCTTATTTTGGCAGAGTGTAGAAAAAAGAAACATTTTCTTTCTATTACATCAAGATTCATGTTTCAATCTTTGGTTACAGACTGATGGAATATGAAATAAGAAAAATGGAATAAGGAGGAGAAAAATGTTTAAGAGAATGAATGACAATTTTTTCTATGATATTTTAATTTTTCTTTTTAAAGCAATGTGAAAATACTTAAAGGAAGATATAAATTTTTAAAGGATGTTACAATTTTGTGTGCTTCTTATTTTAATATGTTGATTTTCGGATGTTACAATTTTGTGTGCTTCTTATTTTAATATGTTGATTTTCAATTGCTACCACATGTAATAAATATTTCCTGTATTTCAAACATATGAAATGTCAAATGAAAATATTTTACATTTTTATAAGATTATCAGTGGGTAATTATATATTTGAGAGAGAGGGGAGATGTAGAGGAATATGCATATACATTTATAAAAGTATTGCAGAACCATTAAAAAGTCTGCTTTCTGTAATACAGTTATAAAATGTGCATGAGAAAACAGCATTAGGGTCAGCTAAAAAAACCCATGCAGCATTATAGAAAAATCAAATTCAAAATATATTGCTTTGCTTATTAGGCTGCAATCATTTTAACCATATACTTAAAAATAAAGAGAAATGTATTTTTTAGGATAAGATTTAGCAGGCAGGATACTACATCTGACATAGAGATTATTGACGGCAATGGTAACATTCAAAACAGCAAAAAGTTAAAACACTCTGCTGAAATACCAAAAATAGTGGAGAGGAAGTGGAAAATTATTTGAAATGTTAGAGACGTTTCATTCCAGTACCTTGGCCTCATTATATTATCAGCTAAATATAAAATACATAGACCAGATAAATGTCTCATTAAGTCTTTCACAGTTCTTTCTGGGAAGTTGGTAGTGGTCTTGAAAATGAAAAATAGAGAAATATTTTATATGAAAATTATGGCATAAAATGTATTTCAGTGAATGTTTTTATTAACTCACTGTGTGTGGTAAGGCATGGTGGTAGAGTTATCATTTTATCAATTGCTCTTAAGACAAAGATGTATTCCATATAGCAACCTTTAACACTGAACAAAATATCTGTTGCATTTCACGTTTAGTTAGATTGTCAACTGCTCAGATGTAGTCTATATTATATGCTTTCTACCTCCATGTTATGAGAAGGCTTTTTTCTTACAATAGCATTTCTGAGCTAATAGAAGCATATTAAACTATGCATATTATCCCATTTAATTTGACATTTATTTCTACATACACACACTCAAATATTAACATACAAAAAACAGGAGTATATTTCATGTTCAGATTTACTTATTTATGGTTTTCACCTGAGATTCATGTGAACACAACACAAGAGGGTTACAGACAGGAAAATAGCATTATTTTTCAAGGTAAAAATAACTTTCTTCATCAATTAATTCATGTAATCTGAATTATTGCATCTAATTAGCACACTCATTCTCTTTCTATAACAAAACAGAGAAAAATTATTTACAATGAATTACTGCTGTATTTCGCATTCTGGCAAAGTTCCCATTGCTTTCAGATATACTTAATGACAAGGTGAATAAGATGACACCACTTTTTCTTTCAAAAACGTAGTCATGCTGAAAATATCTATGTAGAAGACAAGTCACAACACATAGAAAATATCACAAAGGATGCTTGTTAACAATAGAAAAAATGAATGGAGAGGGGACAGAAAGGTGTCAGATGAGAGGTGCTCATAATACCTGCAAAATAAACACCAGCTTCAGTTTCAGAGACAAGTGAGTCTCAGATTGACAGATGGTGGATGATTGCTTCTGGTGGAGCGAATGATGGTTAGTTTGCAAGTAAAAGCAGATAAAGGAGCACATGAATAACAGTCAAATCTTTGGTATGTGGGTAAGGCTTAAATTATAAATGGCTTAAATTATAAATGGTTCATGATTGACTGGCCACAAGTAATTTATTAAGAATGCACATATGGTGAAGAAAGGCAGTAGTGTTCTAACAAATGAATGCAGCTGACCATAAAAAATCCTATATTAAATGGAAAGGAATATTTGGAAAACAATGAACTTGAAGGAGACCTAAAGGCAGATGAAATATAAATTAAGCCAGCACTTGTGACAAAAGCAACAAAAACATGCTTGGAATATGGGCATGTTAGGGTTAAACTTTGGTTGATCCAAAGACT
This sequence comes from Homo sapiens, assembly GCF_000001405.40. NCBI lineage: Eukaryota > Metazoa > Chordata > Mammalia > Primates > Hominidae > Homo > Homo sapiens. The sequence continues at coordinate 155,485,102 of NC_000002.12, read as the reverse complement.
AAGTTTCATTTCTAAATTCAATTTGTAAAATTCAAGGACAAAATATTGTAAAAGTGCTATCAGACAAATAACTACTTGTGGTCTTGGCCTTTAATAGTATGGAATCAAGCACTCTTCACAGAGAACATGGTTGTCATTCACAATGAGATCAAACCAAACATTAGAGATTCACCCAAAAATTTTCCCTTCAAAATGACCTGGTCATGTCTCTACGAGATGTTTTACAAGTTAGTTTATCCTTCTGTCTCTTGAAGGGACTATGCATATAGAACCTGGTACCATCTTGAATACAATACAGGAAGTTGGCTCCTAAACTAGTTCTTATTTTTAAATCAATGCATGTGTCCATTTTTTTTAATTCAGGTAGAATAAACAAGGCTATAGCAATAGTTGAATGATTATAAATCATAAAATGCTAACTCTGAAATAACTCCTAGAAGTCATTTGCTCTACGCTCCTCTTTCATTTTCATTTTTCATATGGAGAAAGTGAGGTCCAAACTGTGTAGCTGAATTTATCAAGGCACAACTAATTATTTAGTGCCTTAGCTAAGATTAGAAATCAAGAATCCTGATTCCCAGTGGAGTCACCAAAGAGTTAGAAATAATGACTCAACCAATCATAATAGTTATTTATGGAAAAGTGTGGTTGTTTTCCTTTTTATAAAGAAATGTAATGTCATTCTGAAAAAAAAAAAAGCAAAGATAGTTAAATGTAAGAAAATTGGATTCAACTTTAAATAAAAGCTTATTCTCCAGTTCTCCTCTGTAATCGTTTACTATGGATTCTGAATTGGGGAAATTCCTGATCTACTTTAACTTCTAAACTTCTTAAAAATTACTTTCAAATATCCAAGTTTATCATTTAATTCAACTGTTGACAGACTTTACTGTATAGGATTACATATTTAAATAACAATTTGAATTTGTATGACACATTTTAACACCTACTTTGATTTACAGGTTCTCTTATATTCTCTCTATGCTAGCAAATAGCAAAGCGTGCATGGATAATTCATCTTAGTCTGATTACTATCAAGAAACAGAGAGGTGTCAATTCCATACAGTTTTTATTCAGACAGGAAGAGATAAAAATGAATTTCCAACATAAAGTGGTAGAGACTCTTTTCCCATTGTATTCTGCTCAAGGTATTGTCTCCAAAATAAGTTGAGAACCATGGTGTAGAGAAAAGAGACTTCAAGAACACGGTGACTGAGCACAAGAGAAAAAAAAAGACTGCAACTTGCTCCCAGGGACTGGAGAAAATTTTAAAAAAGAAAGGTTGGAATCCATCAGTGTTCTATTAGTCATCTTCTCTTTCATCCTCCTCTCCTTCCTCCCCTTCATAATCATCTTCATCTTCTTCACCTTCATCCTCATCCCCTTCATCAATATCTTCTAATCCTTCCTCCTCTTCATCATCATTATCTTCTTCTCCTTCTCCTTCTTCATTATCCATATTGGCAATCAAGAAGTGCCATAATGGGTTTGGCCAAATAGCATCGAGCTCTGTGGGAAAAAGAAAAGCCTGCTCCCTTATCTCTGCTGGAAGCTGGAGGGTGCTAGGCCCCTGTGTAGCAGTGCATAGAGTTCCAGCTTTTTTCCTCCTTTCTCTGTATATTGGGCTCAGAGAGTACATTGTGTCTCTATGTGAATATGGACAGTTAGCATTTACCAACATGTATCTGACAACTTTCTCTTGTTTAAAAAAAGAAAAAAAAAACTTGAAAAATGGGGTTACAGAAGGTCAGCAAAGGCTGGGTTTGAGATGTTAGGGTGAGTTAAGTGGGTATTTTGACAACATGGCTTCTCCTTTGGTGTGTTTAATTGTGATATTTGACAGATTAAGATGACACTTTTAAAACAAATTCTCTCCTAATGATGACTTGAGCCCTGCCACTCAATGGGATTATCAGCAGAACCTGTAGAATCTTATTTGGAATTGACACTCTCTATTGTAATTTTGTTTCTGTTTATTTTTAATTTTTTTTTTGTTTCACTGAAAAGGAAAGATGATGCTCAGTTGTTAAAAGTGTACAAGTTGCTTTGTTACAATAAAACGAAATATGTACAAAAAAAAAGAAACAGAGAGGTGAAGTGAATGGCTCCAGGTTACACAGCAAGCCAGTAGCAATTTTATAAATGTCTTATTTGAATACAAAAATATTTAGAAAATAGAATAATTATTTAGGATCATCAATAGTGGTAACACGTCATGTCGACATAAGAAAAACATTTAAAATCTCACAGGATATTTCCTCATGGCAAGAACTGGCATAGCAAATATTTTCCTAATGTTAATTTTTATATTATTTAAACTTGCATATGAAAAAAACAGAAGAAATTCAATTCTATTTAATAAAAATGTTGAATACTCAGTATTTGCTCTTTTGATAAGACAGCATGTATTTTCATTTAATAAAATAAAATTAATTATTTTCCTTTTTAATTTTTATGAAACAGTGAAGTCAAACACCAAAGGATTTTATTAAAATTAAAATAACATTGTTTAGATAGTACATAATATAAACAAACAATATTCCAAAACTCTTGTTTGTATGATGAAAAACACAAGAAATGTAGTAGATATTTTTGTTTGTTTTGGTTATAAAATCCAAACAGCAAATAGACAAAAAAATTACTTTATTTTTTAAACCACATTCAGAATTTATTACAGAAAGGAGATCTTTAGAACTTATTACAGAAAGGAGACCTTCAGCACTGCACTTACTTGAAAAAGGAAGAATTTGAGTTTAAGAAATAGGGCTTTTTTTTGTGAAACATCTTCTACAGAATAGATATTTTTACCAGTGAAAGTATATGTTAAATTTTTTGAGTCAGATAGCAAGCAACATTCCTTACACATATGTACTGTTAACACATTAAACCATGTTATTCATTATTTTTATCAACTGCTTCCACCACTTTTCAGCTTTCAACATTTTTAAACTATATAAAAATTCATTTCAAAGAAGCAGATAATTCCTTGAAAATTCAGACACCTTTTCTCTCCTTGTTACTGATTGTGTTATTTACTAAGTGTGTTAATCCAACAATGTTAATTCAGCTTCACTAATTGCCTGATATTTAAATATTGGATACTTATCATATTTATTTCACTTAGATTAATGCCGTTAGTATATATTCAATCAAGATGAATTTTGTGGTTTCTAGCATTCTATATGAAAATTGCCTATTTGGGCCATGTCTAGCCACAATTCCTCCTACAAAGTAACAATATTATCAAAAAATGAATTTATAGAAATGACAGAGAATATAATCAATTTTTCAGCTGTCCACTGCAACAATGTAAAATATAGGCATTGAACTAAACAGAAAGAGATAATCTATGTGTTGGTAAGAGATCTTGGCAGTTTATTGGAAACTACTTAGATACCCATTATTCTTTTCCTCTCCATGTTAGAAAAAAAAGGAAATTACAGTTGAATACAGCATAAGACATTCCAAAACAAAATCAAGCAATGAGGACACAACTTTCTTTGAGTTACAATAATTTTCCTCAAATAATATGTGTGCATGAATATTGAAATATTCCCTTAAGCTAAAAAATAATGTAGATGGATCAGTTGGTTACTTGGGAAGAGATGAATGTAGATAGGAAATAACTCATTTTTCCTATGTTTGAGCAAATATATAAAGAATAAAAGCAAGTAATTTCAAGAAATTATTTTCCATTTGAAAGAAAATGTTTGTTATTTTAAACTTGGTAAATGCATAAAAATCAAGAGAAGAAATAAATGATGCAATACCTTAGCCCAAATACATTTACTATCAAATATTTTGTGCCATTTCATTACAGTTTTAAATTTAATGAGGTGATTTTTACATAGTGACAATCATACTGAACATACAATTGTGTTTCTACTCATTCATTAATTGTTTAAAATTATAATATCAAAAAATTCTGTTTTAATATTGGCATATTCATATATTTTGGGGTTTACTATAATTTACATAATCATTTCCATATAGCTAGCCAATTTTTTTTGTATTGTGTTTTTCTCTGTTATAAAAACTGAAACAATAAAAATGTGCCAAAAAATGGTTTTGCTTTTAAAAATTCTCAGTATATATTGCTAAACTGCTTTTTCAAAATTCTGATCCATGTCTGACTCTGGAGAGGCATCATAGCATGTGCTTAGGAGCAGGGTATCCAAAGCCAGGCTTTAAAAGCTCTGGTACTAACTTCCTGCAGGACATTGAGAAAACCACTTAACCTCTCACTGTGACTCAGTTTCTTCATCTCCAAAGTTAGATATTAATAGTATGTTGCTCATAGCATTGCTGTAGTATTAAAAGAGTTAATATATGTAAATGTATACATATGTAACACTTAATTGCTTATAATATATATGTAAATCCTTAGAATAGTTCATAGTAGTATGAACTTTGACTGTAAAAAAATATATTCATGTAGACCATACTGATAGAAAATTTGTTGTTCTAAACAATGTCATATTTTCCAAGATTGATCCTTTTCTAGTTAACCAAAGCTTGGTAGATAAAATATCAACCATAGTGAACACAATTTATAGCCCTTTGGGTAGATTTCCAATGAAATATCCTTGTCAGCTATCTATGGACTTTTATTTGAGAGAAATTTTACTCACAGACATTTTCCAGCAGTTCCTTTCTTGTTGACAGTGGGTACAGTTTTTTATATTAGGGAATTCATTAGATGCAAGGTGAATATGGCATCTATCAGCACACTGGTGCATGGCCTGAACATCTGCATCCCTGCTGTAGAGATTTGACCAATTCTGCCTTAGCATTCAATTTGATTTCTGAGGTGGCAACTGACATTTTTATTGGCATCTCCATAACACATCTAAATTATTACTCTAAGTCTTCCAGAGATTTCCATAAATGAGTGTTTCCTATGAGGGTATGTTTTTTAAAAGACTCATTTACCTGAACATACTGTAACGAGGCCATTGATTATATAGCTCAAGAGCCTACAAATATAAAAACATTCCCCTTAAGACATAAGCCTAAATTCTCTTCTCCTGCTAAGTGGATCTCAATTCTGTCCACTGTGCAGATTTGTGGGTGGCTTCTTCCACTGAGATTTTACCTACTGTAAGGTACAGTGTGACTGATTTCTTTTTTTTTAAGCAAATCAACGTGTATTTTATTTATTTATTTATATTATACTTTAAGTTTTAGGGTACATGTGCACAATGTGCAGGTTTGTTACATATGTATACATGTGCCATATTGGTGTGCTGCACCCATTAACTCGTCATTTACATGAGGTATATCTCCTAATGCTATCCCTCCCCTCCCCTCCACCCCACAACAGGTCCCGGTGTGTGATGTTCCCCTTCCTATGTCCAAGTGTTCTCATTGTTCAATTCCCACCTATGAGTGAGAACATGTGGTGTTTGGTTTTTAGTCCTTGCAATAGTTTGCTGAGAATGATGGTTTCCAGTTTCATCCATGCCCCTACAAAAGACATGAACTCATCCTTTTTTATGGCTGCATAGTATTCCATGGTGTATATGTGCCACATTTTCTTAATCCAGTCTATCATTGTTGGACATTTGGGTTGGTTCCAAGTCTTTGCTATTGTGAATAGTGCCTCAGTAAACATACATGTGCATGTGTCTTTATAGCAACATGATTTATAATCCTTTGGGTATATACCCAGTTAATGGGATGGCTGGGTCAAATGGTATTTCTGGTTCTAGATCCCTGAGGAATCGCCACACTGACTTCCACAATGGTTGAACTAGTTTACAGTCCCACCAACAGTGTAAAAGTGTTCCTATTGCTCCACATCCTCCCCAGAACCTGTTTCCTGATTTTTTAATGATTGCCATTCTAACTGGTGTGAGATGGTATCTCATTGTGGTTTTGATTTGCATTTCTCTGATGGCCAGTGATGATGAGCATTTTTTCATGTGTCTTTTGGCTACATAAATGTCTTCTTCTGAGAAGTGTTTGTTTATATCCTTCACCCACTTGTTCATGGGGTTGTTTGTTTTTTTCTTGTAAATTTGTTTGGGTTCATTGTAGATTCTGGATATTAGCCCTTTGTCGGATGAGTAGATTGCAAACATTTTCTCCCATTCTGTAGTTTGCCTGTTCACTCTGATGGAAGTTTCTTTTGCTGTGCAGAATCTCTTTAGTTTAATTAGATCCTATTTGTCAATTTTGGCTTTTGTTGCCCTTGCTTTTGGTGTTTTGGACATGAAGTCCTTGCCCATGCCTATGTCCTGAATGGTATTGCCTAGGTTTTCTTCTAGGGTTTTTATGATTTTAGGTCTAACATTTAAGTCTTTAATCCATCTTGAATTGATTTTTGTATAAGGTGTAATGAAGGGATCCAGTTTCAGCTTTCTACATATGGCTAGCCAGTTTTCCCAGCACCATTTATTAAATAGGGAATCCTTTCCCCATTGCTTGTTTTTCTCAGGTTTGTCAAAGATCAGATAGTTGTAGATATGTGGCATTATTTCTGAGGGCTCTGTTCTGTTCCATTGGTCTATATCTCTGTTTTGGTACCAGTACCATGTTGTTTTGGTTACCACAGCCTTGTAGTATAGTTTGAAGTCAGGTAGCGTGATGCCTCCAGCTTTGTTCTTTTGGCTTAGGATTGACTTGGCAATGCGGGCTCTTTTTTGTTCCATATGAACTTTAAAGTAGTTTTTTCCAATTCTGTGAAGAAAGTCATTGGTATCTTGATGGGTATGGCATTGAATCTATAAATTACCTTGGGCAGTACGGCCATTTTCACAATATTGATTCTTCCTACCAATGAGCAAGGAAGGTTCTTCCATTTGTTTGTATCCTCTTTTATTTCGTTGAGCAGTGGTTTGTACTTCTCCTTGAAGTTGGATTCTCCTTGTAAGTTGGATTCCTAGGTATTTTATTCTCTTTGAAGCAATTGTGAATGGGAGTTCACTCATGATTTGGCTCTCTGTTTGTCTGTTATTGGTGTATAAGAATGCTTGTGATTTTTGCACATTGATTTTGTATCTTGAGACTTTGCTGAAGTTGTTTATCAGCTTAAGGAGATTTTGGGCTAAGACAATGGGGTTTTCTATATATACAATCATGTCGTCTGCAAACAGGGACAATTTGACTTCCTCTTTTCCTAATTGAATACCCTTTATTTCTTTCTCCTGCCTGATTGCCCTAGCCAGAACTTCCAACACTATATTAAACAGGAGTGGTAAGAGAGGGCATCCCTGTTGTGTGCCAGTTTTCAAAGGGAATGCTTCCAGTTTTTGCCCATTCAGTATGATATTGACTGTGTGTTTGTCATAGATAGCTCTTATTATTTTGAGATACGTCCCATCAATACCTAATTTATTGAGAGTTTTTAGCATGAAGTGATGTTGAATTTTGTCAAAGGCCTTTTCTGCATCTATTGAGATAATCATGTGGTTTTTGTCTTTGGTTCTGTTTATATGCTGGATTACGTTTACTGATTTGCATATGTTGAACCAGACTTGCATCCCAGTGATGAAGCCCACTTGATCATGGTGGATAAGCTTTTTGATGTGCTGCTGGATTCACTTTTCCAGTATTTTATTGAGGATTTTTGCATCAATGTTCATCAAGGATATTGGTTTAAAATTCTCTTTTTTGGTTGTGTCTCTGCCAGGCTTTGGTATCAGGATGATGCTGGCCTCATAAAATGAGTTAGGGAGGATTCATTCTTTTTCTATTGATTGGAATAGTTTCAGAAGGAATGGTACCAGTCCCTCCTTGTACCTCTGGTAGAATTCGTCTGTGAATCTGTCTGGTCCTGGACTGTTTTTGGTTGGAAGCTATTAATTATTGCCTCAATTTCAGAGCCTGTTATTGGTCTATTCAGACATGTAACTTCTTCCTGGTTTAGTCTTGGGAGGGTGTATGTGTCGAGGAATTTATCCATTTCTTCTAGATTTTCTAGTTTATTTGTGTAGAGGTGTTTATAGTATTCTCTGATGGTAGTTTGTATTTCTATGGGATTGGCGGTGATATCTCCTTTATCACTTTTTATTGCATCTATTTGATTCTTCTCTCTTTTCTTCTTTATTAGTCTTATTAGCAGTCTATCAATTTTGTTGATCTTTTCAAAAAACCAGCTCCTGGATTCCTTGATGTTTTGAAGGGTTTTTTTTGTGTGTCTCTATTTCCTTCAGTTCTGCTCTGATCTTAGTTATTGCTTGCCTTCTGCTAGCTTTTGAATGTGTTTGCTCTTGCTTCTCTAGTTCTTTTAATTGTGATGTTAAAGAGTCAATTTTAGATCTTTCCTACTTTCTCTTGTGGGCATTTAGTGCTATAAATTTCCCTCTACACACTGATTTCTAAATAGCAACCTGTCCCCTCATTGTAGGATGGCCTTACTTGATTTCTGGCAAGTGCTCCATTCCTCTTACTTTCTAGTTTTAAACATTTCGAACACCACCTGCTCAGCTGGGCCATAAAATGGCTGGAATAACCTGTATCACCACTCTTAATATGTCATTTAATGTTTGGTTTTCTCAGAGTTTTATTCAAATTGTGACATTATTCTCATGACTTTATGAAGAGGAGCCAAAGAACTCATGGATGAGGAGAGTAATTTTACAAAAGTCTGAATGGCACTGCTAGTCCCTGAGCTTCTTTCTTCACACATGCTCAGTGAGAGATAATTATTACTCACATTGTGAGGAAAATCCCTGGTTACTATTGCCACATAATTCTCAGAAATCTCACAAAACAATTTGCCTTGAATTTTACCTGGATCTATCGGACAAAGACTATTTGTTATATGGATGACTACAGTCCTTAACTCTCTTGAGTTTTCTCTTTTGAAGAGGGAAATTATCATATTATCAATATAGGGAACTAACCTGCTCTTTGTGGTTATCAAGCCCTAGTACCTCTGGTAAGATTATGACAATATGGTGGCAAATTTAAATATTCTTGTGGCTAAACAATCACTGTATAGTGAATTCCACTTCATGAGAATGTAAATTGTGCTTGGATGAACTTCAGAACTGGTACTATAAAGAAATTATTAGCCACATCTATATTAGCTCACCAATCCTGCTTGGTCTATTTCACTTCCTATATAGTATTTAAAATGTTACATAGGTATATAAGTACACATCAGGTACTACTAAAATTTTCAGAGAAACCACCTCTTTAATCCTTGTCAGTCTACTCTTGATCTCTCGGAACTGCCTTCTATACCAGCCAGATGAGGTATCTTAAAAGGTGAAAATGTAGTAGTGAGAATTAAACTCCCACTTCACCCATTTTCTTAATCAGAACATAGATCTCATGCCATCGCCTGGAATTCAGTTGCTGAATTTTACTACCTAGAAGGGCATGGATAATTACAAAAGTTCTTACTTAGCATGGCTAATTATAACTGGGCAAAGGGCACCTTCTCACTCTGTTGATTGTTTCCTTTGCTGTGCAGAATATTTTTAATTTGACATAGTCCCCATTTGTCTATTTTTGGTTTTGTTGCCTGTGTTTTTAGTGTCATATTCATGAAATCATTGCCAAGACCGATGCCATGAAACTTTTCCCTTAATGTTTTTTCTACAGGTTTCACAGTTTCAGGTCTTAACATTTAAGTCTTTAATACATTTTGAGTTTATTTTTGCAAACTACAGAATAGGAGAATATATTTGTAAACCATATGTAATAAAAGGTTAATTCTCAAAATATATAAACCATATATAATAAAAGGTTAATTCTCTTTTTTTATTTTACCCGACTTTAAGTGTATAATACAGTATTATTAACTATAGGCACAATGTTGTTTAGTGAATCTTTAGTGCTTAATCATCCTTCATAACTAAAATTTTATATCTATTGATTAGTAACTCCCACTTTCTCTCAACCCCAAGTCTTTGGCAACCACCATTCTACATATAACCCCATTAAAAAATGAGCAAAGGACACGAACAGACAATTCTCAATAAAAGACATACATGTGATCAATAAGCATATGGAAAATGCTTACCATCATTAAACATTAGAAAAATGCAAATCAAAACCACAATAAGACACCCTCTCACACCAGTCAGAATGACTAGTATTAAAAAGATAAAAAATAACAGATGTTGGTGAGGTTACAGAGAAAAAGGAACAGTTATGCGCTGCTGGTGGGAATGTAAATTATTTCAGCCACTGTGGAAAGCAGTTCGGAGATTTCTCAAATGACTTAAAACATAACTACCATTCAACCCAATTCCATTACTGAGCATATACCTAAAGGAATACAAATCATTCTGTCATAAAGATACATGCATACATGTATTTGTCACAGCCCTATTCACAATAACAAAGAAGTGCTATCCTCATAAGTGCCCATTGATGGTGGACTGGATAAAGAAAATGTGGTCTACAGACAACATGGAATAATATGCTAGCACAGAAAGATCAAAATAATGTCCTTTGCAGCAATATAAATGGATTGGAGGCCATTATCCTAAACAAATTAAGACAGAAACAGAAAAACAAGTGGACAGAAAGAAGGGAACAATAAACACCACGGCCTACTTGAGAATGGAGGTGAGAGGAGGGTAAAGATCAAAAAACGATCTATCAGATACTATGCTCAATAGCTGGGTAACAATATAATCTGTACAGTAAACACCCACAATGTACAGTTTACTCACGTAAGTAATCTGCACATGTACTTCCTAAACCTAAAATAAAAGTTGTAAAGGAAGAAAACCACCAATAATCTTGAAAATACATATGTGATCATAAAGATAAAAATTAGATACTAGCATTGCTCATGTAAAAAATGTCTTGAAGTATCATATTTATTATATCATATTTCTTGAAGTATCATTATCATATTAAACACTGAAAATACATGTACTGTATGCATTTACGTAAATATTATTATCGCATAAATTCATTACGCATATATGTTGTCTGTTTTCCTCATAATAAATTTTTCATAGGAAATGTTTCTGAATATATTTAAATTTAAAGGGGCAATCTTGTATTATATTTATTATGAAAATAAGCAAATAAATATAGCTTTGGAATAGATTTGGAAGAAAAGTAAAAGTAGGCCATTGTATAATATTTATTAACATTTTATAGAAAGAAGAAAAGAAAAACATTAAGTCTTTAAATAATTTCCAAATTCCCTCAGAATTAACATGGATGCCTTTTAGAAGAAACAAACTCTTCACTCTAATCTTATTGAATTAGAATTTCAAGAAGTAGAGCTTTAAATTTTTTAAAGTTTTTTTCTTAGTATTTCATACCTCGGTATCTAGAGTATCATCAATCCGTCTGTGTCTGGGTTTCTACATCCTATCTCAAGGATGATGTGTACAACAGCATCCTCTTCTGCAACTTGGGCAACTACTCATATCTACCAAGCTATTTTGCAGCAATCTGTGGTTTCAATTATGCAATACCTGGGTGTTTTTAGAAAAGTAATCAGAACAGGATTGTGATATACAATATATCTTTATTTTAAATCAAATTAAATTTCAAGATTTTTAAGAGCATCACAGCAATATTTTAAATTTCTTAATTGGCATATGTATATAAATTCTGCTGGAAATATGCTTTCTAAGCAAATAAATGCTAAGGAAGGTACATTCCAGGAGTAAGGATGATAATATAAAGAAAATGAATTAAGAGCTATTAGATCTTAAACAATTCTTACTGAATTAACTCATTGTTAAGTTCAAAACATATATACATGAAAAAACAAAAAGTACCTCAGATGGTTTTGCCGTTTATCATCCTCTTTTTATTTTGAATCTCCTTTGTGTAGTTTTAGAGTGAGTATTGGCAGATTAAGGTGCAGAGAATTATTTAGAACTCCTTGTTCAGATATCAAATCTTCCATTTCAGCTAAACAATCCCTTCCTGTTCTGAAAATTTAAAAAAAAAAAGATAATGAAAACCTGCATTTTTCAAGACTAATGTTTAAGGAGAAACCAAATTTCCACTATTAGTTTTCAGAGCATCAAGTGAAGCTTGTAATCTCTTAAAGAAATGTAATTAACAGCTTCAAATTATAAAAAATGATATAATCACTCAAAAATTTTTTTTTATGGTTTGATAGTTTATTATTGTCTTTTTTTACTGTACTTTAAGTTCTAGGGTACATGTGCACAACGTGCAGGTTTGATACATAGGTATACACATGCCATGTTGGTTTGCTGCACGCATCAACTCATCATTTACATTAGGTATTTCTCCTAATGCTATCCCTCCCCAGCCCCGCAACCCACCGACAGGCCCTGGTGTGTGATGTTCCCCACCCTGTGTCCAGGTGTTCTCATTGTTCAATTCCAACTATGAGTGAGAACATTCCGTGTTTGGTTATCTGTCTTTGAATCACTCAAAATTCTTAACATAAGGTCCATTAGTAAAAAGGAATATCATCTTAATCATACCAATAGGACAAGGCCAATCAACTCCTCCTACACATCAATATATAATAAATGATTTAATAATTTGGCAGAGGGGGAGGAGCCAAGATGGCCGAATAGAAACAGCTCCTGTCTACAGCTCCCAGCGTGAGCGATGCAGAAGACGGGTGATTTCTGCATTTCCATCTGAGGTACCGGGTTCATCTCACTAAGGAGTGCCAGACAGTGGGCGCAGGTCAGTGGGTGCGCACACTGTGCACGAGCTGAAGCAGGGCGAGGCATTGCCTCACTCGGGAAGTGCAAGGGGTCAGGGAGTTCCCTTTCCTAGTCAAAGAAAGGGGTGACAGACGGCACCTGGAAAATCGGGTCACTCCCACCCGAATACTGCACTTTTCCGATGGGCTTAAAAAACGGCGCACCAGGAGATTATATCCCGCGCCTGGATAAGACGGTCCTACACCCACGGAGTCTCGCTGATTGCTAGCACAGCAGTCTGAGATCAAAAGGCAAAGCGGCAGCGAGGCTGGGGGAGGGGCGCCTGCCATTGCCCAGGCTTGTTTAGGTAAACAAAGCAGCCAGGAAGCTGGAACTGGGTGGAGCCCACCACAGCTCAAGGAGGCCTGCCTGCCTCTGTAGGCTCCACCTCTGTGGGCAGGGCACAGACAAAAAGACAGCAGTAACCTCTGCAGACTTAAATGTCCCTGTCTGACAGCTTTGAAGAGAGCAGTGGTTCTCCCAGCACACAGCTGGAGATCTGAGAAAGGGCAGACTGCCTCCTCAAGTGGGTTCGTGACCCCTGATCCCCGAGTAGCCTAACTGGGAGGCATCCCCCAGCAGGGGCAGACTGACACCTCACACAGCCGGGTACTCCAACAGACCTGCAGCTGAGGGTGCTGTCTGTTAGAAGGAAAACTAACAAACAGAAAGGACATCCACACCAAAAACCCATCTGTACATCACCATCATCAAAGACCAAAAGTAGATAAAACCACAAAGATGGCGAAAAAACAGAGCAGAAAAACTGGAAACTCTGAAAAGCAGAGCGTCTCTCCTCCTCCAAAGGAATGCAGTTCCTCACCAGCAACAGAACAAAGCTGGACGGAGAATGACTTTGACGAGCTGAGAGAAGAAGCCTTCAGATGATCAAATTACTCCGAGCTACGGGAGGACATTCAAACCAAAGGCAAAGAAGTTGAAAACTTTGAAAAAAATTTAGAAGAATGTATAACTAGAATAACCAACACAGAGAAGTGCTTAAAGGAGCTGATGGAGCTGAAAACCAAGGCTCAAGAACTACATGAAGAATGCAGAAGACTCAGGAGCCGATGCGATCAACTGGAAGACAGGGTATCAGCGATGGAAGATGAAATGAATGAAATGAAGTGAGAAGGGAAGTGTAGAGAAAAAAGAATAAAAAGAAATGAACAAAGCCTCCAAGAAATATGGGACTATGTGAAAAGACCAAATCTACGTCTGATTGGTGTACCTGAAAGTGACGGGGAGAATGGAACCAAGTTGGAAAACACTCTGCAGGATATTATCCAGGAGAACTTCCCCAATCTAGCAAGGCAGGCCAACATTCAGATTCAGGAAATACAGAGAACACCACAAAGATACTCCTCGAGAAGAGCGACTCCAAGACACATAATTGTCAGATTCACCAAAGTTGAAATGAAGGAAAAAATGTTAAGGGCAGCTAGAGAGAAAGGTCGGGTTACCCTCAAAGGGAAGCCCATCAGACTAACAGCAGATCTTTCGGCAGAAACTCTACAAGCCAGAAGAGAGTGGGGGCCAATATTCAACATTCTTAAAGAAAAGAATTTTCAACCCTGAATTTCATATCCAGCCAAACTAAGCTTCATAAGTGAAGGAGAAATAAAATACTTTACAGACAAGCAAATGTTGAGAGATTTTGTCACCACCAGGCCTGCCCTAAAAGAGCTCCTGAAGGAAGCGCTAAACATGAAAAGGAACAACCGGTACCAGCCACTGCAAAATCATGCCAAAATGTAAAGACCATCGATACTAGGAAGAAACTGCATCAACTAACGAGCAAAATAACCAGCTAACATCATAATGACAGGATCAAATTCACACATAACAATATTAACTTTAAATGTAAATGGACTAAATGCTCCAATTAAAAGACACAGACTGGCAAATTGGATAAAGAGTCAAGACCCATCAGTGTGCTGTATTCAGGAAACCCTTCTCACGTGCAGAGACACACATAGGCTCAAAATAAAAGGATGGAGGAAGATCTACCAAGCCAATGGAAAACAAAAAAAGGCAGGGGTTGCAATCCTAGTCTCTGATAAAACAGACTTTAAACCAACAAAGATCAAAAGAGACAAAGAAGGCAATTACATAATGGTAAAGGGATCAATTCAACAAGAAGAGCTAACTATCCTAAATATATATGCACCCAATACAGGAGCACCTAGATTCATAAAGCAAGTCCTGAGTGACCTACAAAGAGACTTAGACTCCCACACATTAATAATGGGAGACTTTAACACCCCACTGTCAACATTAGACAGATCAACGAGACAGAAAATCAACAAGGATACCCAGGAATTGAACTCAGCTCTGCACCAAGCAGACCTAATAGACATCTACAGAACTCTCCACCCCAAATCAACAGAATATACATTTTTTTCAGCACCACACCAAACCTATTACAAAATTGACCACATACTTGGAAGTAAAGCTCTCCTCAGAAAATGTAAAAGAACAGAAATTATAACAAACTATCTCTCAGACCACAGTGCAATCAAACTAGAACTCAGGATTAAGAATCTCATTCAAAACCGCTCAACTACATGGAAACTGAACAACCTGCTCCTGAATGACTACTGGGTACATAACGATATGAAGGCAGAAACAAAGATGTTCTTTGAAACCAACGAGAACAAAGACACAACATACCAGAATCTCTGGGACGCATTCAAAGCAGTGTGTAGAGGGAAACTTATAGCACTAAATGCCCACAAGAGAAAGTAGGAAAGATCCAAAATTGACACCCTAACATCACAATTAAAAGAACTAGAAAAGCAAGAGTAAACACATTCAAAAGCTAGCAGAAGGCAAGAAATAACTAAAATCAGAGCAGAATTGAAGGAAATAGAGACACAAAAAACCATTCAAAAATTAATGAATCCAGGAGCTGTTTTTTTGAAAGGATCAACAAAATTGATAGACCGCTAGCAAGACTAATAAAGAAAAAAAGAGAGAAGAATCAAATAGATGCAATAAAAATGACAAAGGGGATATCACCACTGATCCCACAGAAATACAAACTACCATCAGAGAATACTACAAACACCTCTACACAAATAAACTAGAAAATCTAGAAGAAATGGATAAATTCCTCGACACATACACTCTCCCAAGACTAAACCAGGAAGAAGTTGAATCTCTGAATAGACCAATAACAGGCTCTGAAATTGTGGCAATAATCAATAGCTTACCAACCAAAAAGAGTCCAGGACCAGATGGATTCACAGCCGAATTCTACCAGAGGTACAAGGAGGAACTGGTACCATTCCTTCTGAAACTATTCCAATCAATAGAAAAAGAGGGAATCCTCCCTAACTCATTTTATGAGGCCAGCATCATCCTGATACCAAAACCTGGCAGAGACACAACAAAAAAAGAGAATTTTAGACCAATATCCTTGATGAACATTGATGCAAAAATCCTCAATAAAATACTGGCAAACTGACTCCAGCAGCACATCAAAAAGCTTATCCACCATGATCAAGTGGGCTTCATCCCTGAGATGCAAGGCTGCTTCAATATACGCAAATCAATAAATGTAATCCAGCATATAAACAGAACCAAAGACAAAAACCACATGATTATCTCAATAGATGCAGAAAAGTCCTTTGACAAAATTCAACAACCCTTCATGCTAAAAACTCTCAATAAATTAGGTATTGATGGGACGTATTTCAAAATAATAAGAGCTATATATGACAAACCCACAGCCAATATCATACTGAATGGGCAAAAACTGGAAGCATTCCCTTTGAAAACTGGCACAAGACAGGGATGCTCTCTCTCACCACTCCTATTCAACATAGTGTTGGAAGTTCTGGCCAGGGCAATTAGGCAGGAGAAAGAAATAAAGGGTATTCAATTAGGAAAAGAGGAAGTCAAATTGTCCCTGTTTGCAGACGACATGATCGTATATCTAGAAAACCCCATTGTCTCAGCCCAAAATCTCCTCAAGCTGATAAGCAACTTCAGCAAAGTCTCAGGATACAAAATCAATGTACAAAAATCACAAGCATTCTTATACACCAACAACAGACAAACAGAGAGCCAAATCATGAGTGAACTCCCATTCACAATTGCTTCAAAGAGAATAAAATACCTAGGAATCCAACTTACAAGGGATGTGAAGGACCTCTTCAAGGAGAACTACAAACCACTGCTCAAGGAAATAAAAGAGGACACAAACAAATGGAAGAACATTCCATGCTCATGGGTGGGAAGAATCAATATCGTGAAAATGGCCATACTGCCCAAGGTAATTTACAGATTCAATGCCATACCCATCAAGCTACCACTTTCTTCACAGAATTGGAAAATAGTACTTTAAAGTTCATATGGAACCAAAAAAGAGCCCACATTGCTAAGTCAATCCTAAGCCAAAAAACAAAGCTGGAGGCATCACGCTACCTGACTTCAAACTATACTACAAGGCTACAGTAACCAAAACAGCATGGTACTGGTACCAAAACAGACATATAGATCAATGGAACAGAACAGAGCCCTCAGAAATAATGCCGCATATCTACAACTATCTGATCTTTGACAAGCCTGAGAAAAACAAGCAATGGGGAAAGGATTCCCTATTTAATAAATGGTGCTGGGAAAACTGGCTAGCCATATGTAGAAAGCTGAAACTGGATCCCTTCATTACACCTTATACAAAAATCAATTCAAGATGGATTAAACACTTAAATGTTCGATCTAAAACCATAAAAACCCTAGAAGAAAACCTAGGCATTACCATTCAGGACATAGGCATGGGCAAGGACTTCATGTCTAAAACACCAAAAGCAATGGCAACAAAAGACAAAATTGACAAATGGGATCTAATTAAACTTAAGAGCTTCTGCACAGCAAAAGAAACTACCATCAGAGTGAACAGGCAACCTACAACATGGGAGAAAATTTTCACAACCTACTCATCTGACAAAGGGCTAATATCCAGAATCTACAATGAACCCAAACAAATTTACAAGAAAAAAACAACCCCATCAAAAAGTGGGCGAAGGACATGAACAGACACTTCTCAGAAGAAGACATTTATGTAGCCAAAAGACACATGAAAAAATGCTCATCATCACTGGCCATCAGAGAAATGCAAATCAAAACCACAATGAGATACCATCTCACACCAGTTAGAATGGCAATCATTAAAAAGTCAGGAAACAACAGGTGCTGGAGAGGATGTGGAGAAATAGGAACACTTTTACACTGTTGGTGGGACTGTAAACTAGTTCAACCATTGTGGAAGTCAGTGTGGTGATTCCTCAGGGATCTAGAACTAGAAATACCATTTGACCCAGCCATCCCATTAATGGGTATATACCCAAAGGATTATAAATCATGCTGCTATAAAGACACATGCACACGTATGTTTATTGTGGCATTATTCACAATAGCAAAGACTTGGAACCAACCCAAATGTCCAACAATGATAGACTGGATTAAGAAAATGTGGCACATATACACCATGGAATACTATGCAGCCATAAAAAATGATGAGTTCACGTCCTTTGTAGGGACATGGATGAAATTGGAAATCATCATTCTCAGTAAACTATCACAAGAACAAAAAACCAAACACCGCATATTCTCACTCATAGGTGGGAATTGAACAATGGGAACACATGGACACAGGAAGGGGAACATCACACTCTGGGGACTGTTGTGGGGTGGGGGGAGGGGGGAGGGATAGCATTGGGAGATATACCTAATGCTAGATGATGAGTTAGTGGGTGGAGCGCACCAGCATGGCACACGTATACATATGTAACTAACCTGCACATTGTGCACATGTACCCTAAAACTTAAAGTATAATAATAATAAAAATAAATAAACAAAACATAAAAATAAATAAAAAAATAAAAAAAAGAGTAAACTTCACATTTCTGATAGAATGAAGAGGTTTTTTTTGTGTTTTTTTTTTTTTTTTTTTTTTTTTTTGAGACGGAGTCTCCCTCTGTCGCCCCGGCTGGAGTGCAGTGTTGCCATCTCGGCTCACTGCAAGCTCCGCCTCCCAGGTTCACACCATTCTTCTGTCTCAGCCTCCCGAGTACCTGGAACTATAGGCGCTCGCCACCACGACTGGCTAATTTTTTGTATTTTTAGTAGAGACGGAGTTTCACCGTGTTAGCCAGGATGGTCTCGATCTCCTGACCTCGTGATCCACCTGCCTCAGCCTCCCAAAGTGCTGGGATTACAGGCGTGAGCTACCGCGCCTGGTCTAGAATGAAGAGGGTTTACTTACGCCTGCTTTCAAAGAATGAAAAAAGAGCTGTAAGCCCTAACTACACTGTGAAAACTTCCAACCAAGCCTCGTGTTTTGGCTTCATCCTAGATTTCCACTTTCAGAACAACTCTTACTCCTGAACATGACTGAGATTCTGTACTCTAAACAGTAATGCCTCTGGGTCACTGCCTTCATTACGGGCTAAGTAAATTATGCTACGTAAATTAACACTTGCTGTCTGGGCACAGTGGCTCATGCCTGTAATCTCAGCACTTTGGGAGGCCGAGACAGGCAGATCACTTGAGCTCAGGAGTTCGAGACCATCCTGGCTAACACGGTGAAACCCCGTCTCTACTAAAAATACAAAACTTAGCCAGGCATGGTGGCAAGTGCCTGTAATCCCAGCTAGTCGAGGCTGAGGCTACTTGGGAGGCTTGGTTTATCAAAGACTGTCTCTATGGTGGAAAAATATTTTCACGGTAAAACGGTACAAAATATTTAAATAAACAAAAGCTATTCTTGTAAATATAGATATTTGTGAGAAATATTTTAATATTAATATTGTTCTCTAAGCGTATACTGTCATTTATATTAGAGACCATTGCTCCCATTGTTAACTAGTAGATAATCTTTAATAATTTCCAAAATAGTTTTCTTAAACCCATTAGAAAATTAATGATGCAAAAAGTCTAAAAAAAAAGAAACTCAAACAAGCAAACAAAAAACCCTCCAGCTTAGGCAGAGCCCTCCTTAGATTAGAAGATATCTACTCTAGCTTATTTCTTCCTGGGGGAATAGTGAAGAAAGAATTAAGTCTGCCATGAATAGTAAGGTCTGGGGAAGACTCTAAAGATAAAATTTAGCTCTAAGAAAGAATCATTAAATTCGTAGTACTGATAAATACAATATCCAAAATAAAATATCCACTGGAAAGCCTTAATAGCAGATTAAAGAAGTCAATAAAAATAATCTAAACTAAAGCCCAGTTTAGATTTATTTCATCTTTTATTTAGTAAAAATACTTGCATAGCATATTTTTACCTATTTCAGCCATTCAAAAGAATTGCTAATTTCAGTTGACATAAATATATTCTTTGCTTGGTCAAATGTAAGAACCAGCTGAAAATAAAGAAAATATATATTTGGATAATATAGCTGTTTAACAAATATGTAATAGATATGTATTAAGATTATGTATATATATACTATTAAGAGATGTTAAATATATATGTTAACAAACAAAAATTAATAAGCTAGGGATCCATTCTTCCATAACTTCCACATTAAGCCAGTTATCAAGTCTTTATGCATCCTGTTCATCTGTCTCTCTAACTGACTCTTTTCTATCCATCCCTACTAAATATTACTTATTTCAAATTATCATCTACTTTTTCATGGAAAAAAGGAATTAGTATTTAGTTTGTAGCTCATATTTCAACTCCCACTAGGAGGATGGTTAGAGAGAAATGACTTGACTCAATCCTCATATAAAATATAAATCAAACCTCTTGAAGGTACTGACTAGTAGAAAGATAAAGAAGAGTCCTTGGATATGCCCTAAATTTAGCAGGACTATCACAGTTAATTTTATGCTGCTATAACAGAATACCACCCACTAGTTAATTTACAAATAAAAAAAGTTTATTTAACTAGTGGTTCTGGAAGCTGGAAAGTCCAAAAGCATGGTCCTGGCATCTGGTAAGTGCCTTCTTACCGTATCATGACATGGCACAGGGCACCAGATAGTGAGGTGTAAGACCTTGTGCACTCAGGTCTGTCTTCCTCTTCTCGTAAAGCCACCAGTCCCATCATGAGAGCTCCACCCTGATGAGCTTATCTAATCCTAATTATCTCCCAAATACCCCACCTCCAAATTCCATAATCATATGAATTTGGGGATAAATTTACAACACATGAAATTTGAGGGACACATTCAGACCAAGGACCTATCCTGTCTGTCTAGGTTGATCTCTGCTTTTTGTGAGTCTGGTTTGATAAACCAAATTTTGTGTTTGTCAGACTATTGCTATAAGCAGAATTATCTTTATTTTATACACATAATAATGCCTAAGGCACATTTTAACAAGAAAAAGCTGGAATGGAAAAGCAGTATAAGAAACTGATGCTTGGATGTTTCCCTACCTATGGTTGGTAGGAAGTGGTGAAAGACATGATGTAGATTATGGAACAAAAGACTTACCGCTTATCACAGGCTCTAAAGTTCTATACACTGTTTGCAACAATAAATTAAAATTATAAAACAAAAAAAAGGCAAGAAACAACACATTGTCAAGAGAAAAAACAGTTAACAGAAAAATATTCATGAAAGACACAAATATTGGAAATATGAAATAGACAATTTAAAAGACTATGATTAGTATTTTAATGTTTCATGAAGAATTTTTTCAGACAAATGGAGACAAGAAAATGTTGAGTGGACATATGTAAAAACTTCTAGAGAGATACTAGAAATAAATGACACTGTGACAGAGATTAAGGTTGTCTTAGACAAACTGATCTGTTTGATCTAAGTAAAAAAAAAAAAAAAAACCGAAAAAAATCAGTGAACTTGAAGATAGTTTGAAAGACATTATCTAAACTAGAATATAAAGAGGAAAACATAGCAAGCAATCAAGAAGAAAAAACAAGTAAACAAAAACTAGAGCAGAGCATCCAAGAGTTGTAGGACAATATGACATTGCCTACCGTATGTATATTTTGAATCTGAGAAAAAGAAGAGAAAGATAATATAGCAGAAAAAAAATGTTTGAAGGGATGATGGCTGAGGATTTCCCCAAAATAGTGAAATATATTAAACCACACATCAAAGAGGATCAAACAACTCTAAGCAGGAAAAATACCATAACACCCACATATCACATACAAACTACTTAAAAACAAATATAATGAAAATCTTGAAGTCCAATCAGAAGGTAATGACACATTTCAGGTACAGGAACAAAGACAAAGCTGAGACAGATTTCTAATCAGAAATTACAAACGTAGATGATGATGAAGTGTGACCTAAAGTACTGAGAGAAACAATAATACCTATCAATCCAGACACAGATAATATCAAATCATCCCTGACCAAAGTGAAATAAAACTAACAATCAATAACTGGAGGAACTTTGGAAGTTATAAAAATACATGAAAATTAAACTACGTGCTCCTGACCATTCAGTTAAGGAAGGAATTAAGAAGGAAATTGTAAAAAACAATGCTTGAAACAAATAAAAATTAAAGCACAACGAACCAAAACCTATGGATATAGCAAAAACTATGTCAACAGGAGAGTTTATAGCAATAAATGTCTACATCAGAAGAGTTTCAAATGAATAACCGAATTATATACCTCAAGAAAATCGAAAAGCAAGAACAAACTAAACCCAAAATTAGTGGAAGGAAAGAAATAACTATAAGAGCAGAACTAAATGAAATAGAGACTAGAAAAGAATATGAAAGATCAACAAAAGGAAAAATTATTTTTTTAAAAAGTTAACAAAAGTGATAAACTGCTTGCTAGACTAATGAACTAAATAAAGAAGATGCAAATAAACAAAATCAGAAACAAAAAAGGAGACATTGCAACTGATACCACAGAAATACAAAAGGTCATCAGAGACTGCTATAAACAACTGTACCCTAACAAACTAGAAAACCTAGATAAAATGGATACATTATTGGAAAAATACAATCTACCAAGATGGAATCAGGAAGAAACAGAAAACCATAAGAAGCAATGAGATTCAATCAGTAACAAAAAGTCTCCTAACAAGGAAAAGTTTGAAAACAGATGGCTTCACTGCTGATTTCAGTCAAACCTTCAAAGAAAAACTACCACCAATTCTCCCCAAATTATTTTTAAAAATTGAAGAGAAGTGATTTCTCCCTAATTATATGAGGCCAGCATTTCCCTGATACCAAAATCAAATAAGAACATAATACAAAAAAGAAAACTAAACAGCAATATCTCTGATGAACAAAGACACAAAACTCCCTCAGTTTATTTTTAAACTAGATCCAAGTACAAATAAAAAATTAATACATTATAATCAAATGGGATTTAATTGAGGGATACAAAGATAGTTCAAAATGTGCAAATCAATATATGTAATATATTACATCAAAAAATGAAAGACAAAAACCATATGATCATCTCAATAGAGGCAAAAAAAGCATTTGATAAAATACAACACTTATACCAAAAACTCTCAACAAATTAGGCATAGAGAAAAAGTACCTCAAAATAATAAAAGCCATATACAACAACCCACAGTCCAATGAGGAAAACCTGAAATATTTTCCTCTAAGAACTAGAAAAAAGACAAGGATTCCTGCTTTCACCACTCCTATTCAATATAGTACTAGAAGCCTAATCAGAGCACCAGGCAAGAGAAAGCAGTAAGAAGCATCCAAACTGGAAAAGAAGTCAAATTGTCACTCTGCTGATGATATGATCTTGTATCTGGGAAAACCTAAAGACACCACCAAAACAATTCTTAAACCTAATACATAAATTCAGTAAACTTGCAGAATACAAAATTAATTTGCAAAAATTTCTGGTATTTCTAAACACTAACAATGAAATATTTGAAAAAGAAACCAAGAAGGCAATTCTACTTACAATGACTACAAAAATACATCCAATAATAAATTTAAGTAGAGAGGTGAAAGACCTCTACAAGCAAAACTACAAAACACTAATGAAAGAGACCGAAGAGGACAAAAACAAATGAAAAGACATCTCATGACCATGGATCAGAAGAATTAATATTGTTAAAATGACCATACTTCCAAGGCAACCTACAGATTCTACACAATACTTATCAAAATATCAACATTATTTTTCACAGATATAGAAAAACAGTCCTAAAAGTTGTATGAAACAAAAAGGACCTCCCCCCGCCCAAAAAAAAAAAAAAAAAACAGAGCTGGAGACAACACAATATTTGACTGAGCAAAAAGAATAAAGCAAAAAGAACAAAGCTGATGAAAACATATAGAATCTACGTGCAATTCCTGGATATCAATAAACAAAAGGAGAGGAAAAACAATTCTTAAAAATGGAACAAAGGATACCAGCAGCTAGTTCCTAGAATGAAAAGCCTGCATGGATATAAACAAATAACAAAACAACAACAAAAATACGATACAATGCTCGAACTCACTAGTAAGTAGAAAATTGCAAAAAAAAAATGCATCTGTAAACCATAAGAATGATCAAATTAAAAAATATGGGCAATACAAAAATAAATAAATGAAGATGGAGTATGTAACATTAGTACAAATAGGTACAGCTATTCTAATAGGAATGACATCTGGTGCTAATTAATAAAATTAAGTATCTATCTATATACTTAATTTCTAGTCGCCACCTTTGGGTATATATACCAGAAAAATTCCAACATGGGTCCATAGGGAATATATACGAGGACACTCATCAAAGAATTGTTAGTGTTAAAGGGAGTTGTAGGCAACCCAAATGTTCATCACTAGAGGGATGCATACCATAAGTGTATTATAAAATAATCTGCAACAATTAGAGCAATGGAACAGATGAACACAAAGCAATATGAGTACATCCTCAAAACAGACTGAATGCATAAAGTTAGAGTGAAATTTATGTAAATGTAAAACAAAAATACACAAAAAAAGCACAACATATTTTACATGGATAAGTACATATCTGAAGAGCGTTCAGAAGATTAGAGTGGATGGTTATGGGGTGCAGAGAATGGGCATTAAAGAGAAATAAGTATAAAATAAACACATTGGAAGTGAGAGCATGGGAATTTACTTGAGCACCATTCAAAATAAATAGTACTAATTAAAATATAGAACAATATTAAGCAATATTGGATTCTAAAGCAAACAACTTCATATGATATGCAGACTTAATGCTTGGAAAATTCTAATGATTACCTGATAACTACAGTGGTTATTTTTTAGTCTCTCTAGTTTGCTTTTGCTATTAAGTCAGAATAGCTGCATTTTGTTTGTTTCTCCTTTTTTTCCTCTCCTGATTTAATTTTATGTACAATGAATTTCTAACAACAGTGTTATTTCCTCACATATCATTTTTTTGCAGTCAGTCTTAAGATAATAAATTTATTTCTTAGTATATATAACCTTATTTGGGAGGCCTGAACACTTAAAATGTGTTCAAACCCTTCTGTTAGTTCTACAAACATGCAGCAAAAGTGTCTTAGTCAATTTTGTCTAATCTACTATAGGGACCTTAGACATATACATACAGTCATGAAAATAAGTGATATTTTATTTAATGCGCTGGTGGCATTTTTATTAAGGCATTGATCTTGGCTGAGCATATATTGAGGGTCATATTGTTATTTCTAAATTTTAAAATACTATAGAAGAATTATTTTAAAACGTTTGCTATAATTTAATTTACATCTATATTTTAAACTCTTTAGCCATTTTTTTCTTTAGATTCCCCCTTCTGGATTTGAGATTATAACCCAATGTTATCGGTTTAATAATAGTAAAGTATGATGGCAGGACACTTAAGAAATGCCACTATATGTGAAACAGAATGTAATGTGATTTTAGATCTGGAAATTGCCGGTGGTGAGTGGAGTGCGAATAAATATCAAATGTCTCCTCTTTAGCACTAAATGTAAAATGTTCCAAATCATCTTATCCAACTCTAGATGTTAACTTAAATGTAAATGCACATATTGAATGCAATAGTGGAATAGCAAACAGAATTCATAACAGAACAAGTAATATGATTGGGGATGTTGTTTTGCTGTATTTTTTAATGCCAAGAAATAGCAAATTGGTCTTTAAGAACATATACCGTAGGGTACTTGGGGTGCTAGAAAAGATAGAGCTGCACTATCGCTAACCTCGATTTCTTTTAAATTTCAATATTGTAACACAGGAGGGTAAGGTAAGAACTTTACCTAGGCAACTACTAAAACAGAATCTAACACACCAGATCAAAATAGTTAATATATCTATGTGCTTCAGAGCATACTTTCAAGTCTATCTACCTACTTGCTAAAATGTCCCTACTGAGAGAAGTTAACTTTCTTGATTTGGAGACAAACACTGATTAATACCACGGAGTGAGTCCTGTTATGCCTTAGGAGATTCAGTGTTCTACAAAACAACAATTGTCATGTTTTGTCTCAGTCAGACATTTGACAAGTTTGTAGACTCGCTGAAGATTTAATTTTTATTAGGATTATTTAGAGATCTAAGTTTTACTAACAAAATTATTCATCAGATTCTGAAGCGAAAGTATAGCAATGAGAATCTTGTCCAGATCTTATCTTAACAAAACAACCTTACACTCAAAGCACTCATAATTTTTATTTTCCACCCATCATTTACTGCTCTATATTTTGTCATTATTTTCTCAAGTAGACTAAAGCTGCTCGCAATAAAATGTTGGGTATATCAGAATTGATCCCTAAATATCCCTTGGTACAGTTTAATAAATTGTGGAATATATCCAAACAGCAGAATAGCTTGGCATGTTAAAAAGACTGTGTAGATCTATCTGTTTTTATTACACATGTCCTTTAAAGCTTAGAAGAGTGCACATTGTATGATTTGTACTGGGTTTTAAAAAATAGATTTGTATATTCACCTACAGATAAATATAGGAATAAAGATACACTTTTTACTTATATGCTGTACTAGAAAGATGCAAAAAGTACATGCCTATGTTAGTTCTAAAGATGAAAAAGAAAAAGTTGATGGTGAATAAGTTTGAGAATTAAAATTAGGGTCTGGGGAATGAGAGGGAAACATTTTCTTGTCATTTTGCTTCATTTTGTACTGTTTGACATTCTAGGTAGATGATTGTGTTCATTTTATTGAAAACTAATTATTTAGATTAGCTGGATGGTGAGATTATGGGCTATTCTAATTTTATTCTCTACTTAAAAATAACATGAATTAAAGTTTTAAGAAAAAGAACAAATAAGGCAAGAGACAAGCAGAAAGGGAAGAAGGAAGAAGAATGGAAGGGAAAGATACAAGAAAGAGGGAAAGGGACAGGATTGTAGAGGAAAACGTAGGTTTCGAAAATTCTCTAAACCACTGATACACCAGGCCTGTCATTAGAACAGAACTGTTTAGTTAGATGTTCTTGATTCCTGTCCACAATCTCATGTCAACTTGTTTAATCTTTTAATGACTTCTCACCAAAATGTGAAATACCTGACAATTCCTTTTACATAAGCTACTGCAGGAAGTCTTAGAAACCTTTTATTTAAATATACAGCACAAAGCTTTTGTAATTAAGTGTTGAGCATTGCTTAACGGGGCATAAAGAATCATGAATAGTGCAGTTTTTTAAACACTGTTATGCTTGTAAAATCACTGTTTGGTTTTGCAAACAGATATCCCTTTTGAAAATAAAATTTGATTGATAACATTTGCTTTAAAAATCTGCAAATTATTTTTGTGAGAAAAAATATTAATATGCCATCATGCCTAATTTTGATGTTTATAATTAAAAAATTACCTGCTTACCTAACTTTTAAATTACTTTATACCTCTCTATAATTTGGGAAGATTTTCTTCAAGCAAGGCATATAAAATACATTAATATAAGTATGTATTTTTGATCCTTCTAGAAGTTTATCCTGATGTAGTCAATTATATACTTTCAAAAGCATATGGGAATTTATTATATAATTGCTAGAATACTGACTATTTAGAAATGACCAAAATATCTAACAAAATAAGATTGATTTTAGAAAGTATGCTTTGAAAAATTTTGCAATCATTATAATTTAAGAAGCATAGAGCTGTATGTATTGCCAGATACATAAATTCATAATATATTTTTACTTGAAGAAAACACAATACAAAATGCACAATTTATTTTTTGTACAAATTATTCTATTTTTTGCTACAAGCAAATGATATATGCATAAAAAGCTGAAACAGTATGCATTTATCTTATCTCTTAATATCTGTTTCTAATTAGCAGGATTACTTTGTTCTTTTTTAATATATGTATTATTTTGTTATTCAACAAGCATTAACTATTCGGGTAGTAGAGATATAATAAAAATAAATAAACTATAAAATGCTAAATGAAAATCACATTACCACGTCTTTGAAACTAAATATGATTTCTACTTTCTTCACTCCTGAAGTCTCAAGTCAATCATCACCTCCTCTGTTGAAGTATTTTGCAGTTTCACTTTATCATACTGCTTTGACTCCAATTTGTATGACCTTATTTATTAATAATACCTGTCAAAATGTGTGTCAGCATTTAAAAACAAGCCTAGTTCTCCACTAAATTCCTTGAAAGCTGGGACTCTATTTCCATTGCCTATGAACAATCTGACAATTATCATTTTTTCAGTGTGGTTTAACTTAAATCCAAAAATACAATAAAGAAAAGTTTTAAAATACCTGCAAACCAATCCATATGAGATAAACAGGTCAACCTATAACTACACATGTAGTCTGCCTGTAGATAATTTCTATAAGGAAAAAAATCTTGAAAATATATGATGCTTAAAAGCTATCAGTCATCAGACAGTTTCTGGGGATTTTAAATTCACAGTGTTAGGATAGAAGGATACAATTGTTTATTAATATCTGTGAGTGCAAGATGGAATTCAATCCATTATTGATGAAACAGAATCAATAAATGCAACATTGGAGATATTTTTGACATATCCCTTTTAAGTTTGCAACCACTGAGCCAGTCATTTGCCTATTGCTCTCACATCTATTCTCGGTCTTTCACTTACTCTGCTTTGTATCTCAAAGAACTACATTTATGCAGACTCCTTTGCCAACTGACTCAGAGTTAGGTTTAGCAAGTTGCAGGCACAGGGAGGAAATGGAGAGAAACCAAAATATATCTTTCCTGCTCTGCTACTGATGTCATAAGTGTCTAGGTCTCTTCAGTGGCTCCAGCTCCTGCCAGACAGTTTCCCTTTCCATGCTCATGACAGCCAAATGGCAACCTCCACCTTGATTCCAGATCCTATAGAATGACCCTGGCTTTCAGGTTCTAGTAACATCATTTTTCTCAGTTTCTCCCAGCCCTGGTTCCTGCTGTTTACTATTCTTTAGGTTGATTCACTGGTTCTTTATCTCTTATATCAAACATATAATCAATTCCTTGCATCAAATTCTCTGTTTCAAATAGCTAGAGTGTTTTTTTTTCTTATCTGGATACCTTTCAGTACAACAGCCAAGATTTCTTTCAAGTTACAATGGAAGCTGGTGTGCAAACTGCCTTTTCAAAAGCACTATTTAGTAACAAATCCAGTTTACCTGGTTTACCTGCTTCAGCAACCACATTTTTAAATGTAAATACAATTGCATGTACAATTGTTCAAGGACTTTTGCAAAACATCTGATGAAATTAATTCTACTTAGAACTTACTTGCTAAAATATAATAGCAATTGAGAATGATTTAGCATGCCCTATGGATATGCTACTTATGAAAATTATTGATCAAAGTATGTGCATTTTTATATAATGATATGTATTATACTTATTTATATAATTGTCTTAAATAATGGGTAGCTATAGATAAAATGAGATTGAGGATTTGTTTCCAATTTCTCCTCCTTTTCAAATTGATGAAGACCTTTGTCTCAACCACCTAGTTGAAATGTCCCCATCCAGATTCTGTCCTAGGTTTGGCTTTCATCAACAATTCTATGTAATTCGTTTATCCTTTTTTGGTTATCACTATTCACACTTCACAGACCACTTAATGATATGTCATCAGTTATTATGACTACAGGGTACTCCAGTTCTTTATGTAATGGCTCGAAGCAAATTATTAATCAAGTGTATCAAGGAAACTATAAATATGTGTTCGAATTTACTACTACTAAATCCTGGCTATACAGGAACCTTAAGGGGGTTAAAACTCTATTGATCCTATCCTAGTCAGGCTCCTCTGAACTTTTTTCAAGTAGGCCCTGACTCTTGGGCTTCCAAGTTCATATCTGCTTAGCCCAGTTTTAGCAAGAATCTTACCCAGTCAGTGTAGCAGAACTCCTCAATCTTTGATACATAATCAAATTCCTTATGCCCCCACCCTCAATCTTATCACCCAGTCTTCATATTGCCTTCAGCAATTATGCTGTCAAGTCTGTTTAACCAGAATCCTCCTTACCCGTGATGCTGCTTCTTAGTAATTTTCCATCCACTGACCCCCACTAGGATATAAATCTCCACTTGACTTTGTTTTATTTGGTGTTGAACCAAATCTCTCTCTTCTACTACCAAACCGCGTTGTAGTAGCACCCCTTGAATAAACTCTGCCTTACCATTCTTTAACAGGTGTCAAGAATATTCATTTTTAATGAATGAGCAGGAATTTCTTTTATTATTCTGCAGATATGGCTGGTGGAGCTACCTGGTTGTTGAGAATGAGTTTCTCAGTTCTTCCCAAGCTGCTGTCATGAATCAACTTTAACTTTTAAAAAATTCTGTTTGAGGGTGAAACAAGCATTTTCAAATTACTCTCTCTCTAAAACAAATACTTTCACATCACTCAGAAACATTACTCTTTTGACACTTTCTGTGAAAGCCTATTTTGCTAGTATTATGTATATTTACTTAGTAAATATTCCAGTTTGAATAAAATGACTGGGATTTAAAAGTTTTGAGATACAAATCCTAGATGGTTATTGTGTTTTGTGATTATTTTGGCAGCTTCATATCAAGGTAGAAGTTATCACGTTGTACCTCTAAATGTTTTTTATAAACCAAATTCATTTCCCTTATTTTAAAATAATTATGTCTTTGTCTTGAAAGTTCTATGCACCTCTGGAGCCTTGTAGAATTTGTAAATTTGGCAGAGCAATGCTAATGCCCTGCTCATCTTCTGTATGGATTCTGAGACTATATTATTCCACATACCTGAGAAGGGAGGGAAACGTTCTTATTCTTCTGTCGACTTCTCCTGTTGCATGATTAGCTGTGTGACATGCCAGTTTGACCTATCTCTTAGTCTCCATTTGGAGAAGCAGTCAAAAAGGCAAGTGCCTTAGGAACTGAAACACTCATAAGCTGTCAACAGGAGTTATAAACCCATAAAAGATGCGCTTTAAAAACAGATTGTAATATGCAAGAAGGCATTCATGCAGCAAGGAATAGTAAAATTCGGAGCCAGGAAAAATTGGGTCCTACCCTCAACTCTGCCACTACTGCAGTTACCTTAAACAAGTACATGTTCTTTTCTCAGCCTAAATTTTCTTATCTGCCATTTTAGGGGAATGGATATGATTTTGATACAATGTTTTGGTGTGACATTTTAAGAATGAGAAACCTGAAAAGTCCTTCTATCCTATCTTCTTCAACCATCTGCTTCCAAAATCCTTCACAGTTTGAACATTTTAAAGTACAAACAGTTGTGTGATGATGATGAAATTCAACTATGACAGCTTCCACAGGGTTATATTTCATATTTACTTAAATGTAAAGGTAACTGGTAGAACATGATCACATACACAAGCAGGTTTAGAAATAACCTAAGAAGAATTGTAATCATTGCAGCAGGAGTTTTAGAGTTAGGACTCTCTATTCAGAGGCATCTAACAATAACTAAGAAATTTTTCCACTTGAAATAATCCTGTGAAATGAATGTGAATTCTTGGCCCTGAGGGACATCTTACAGACTCACAGTCCAGTCTGTAGTTAACTCCTTCATAGTCGTTGGACTATAATGATTAATTTCAAGCCAGCAAATTTGAGTCTAATTTATTCAGAAACAATATTTCTCAGGTATGAAGAAAGTATCATCATTTTACAAGTGGATTTAAGAACTGATTCCGTAGTACAATATTTTGCATTGTCAGTTAAAACTTAAGAATTATCATTAATTTCAGGATTTTTATATGGTTATCTTTACCTGTATGTGTGTATGTGTGTGTATTTTTTAAAATATAATTTGATGCTGTGTTCATGTAATGACAAAACAATGCGGTATGAAAAAGAAAAATCAACTAAATAATAATGGGATCACAGAGGCAAAGTATATTTAAGCATATTTATTATTATTCAAATATATATTTCATATATTCATATTATATGTATATGAATATATATAAATACTTTAGGTAGACAAAGTATTCTAGTAGACAAAGGAGTATGGCTCAACATAAAAGAAGATACAAAGAAATGTTAGTAAAACCCAGATATCAAAAGAATCATTATATTTTATATGTTTGTACTTATATAACATAATTTTTAAAATATTAATCTGATATTACTCCATCATAGCCCCAGAATTTTTCTTTATTTTTTCTTTTTTATATTATGCTTTCAGTTCTCGAATACACTTGCAGAACTTGCAGGTTTGCTACATAGGTATACACGTGCCATGGTGGTTTGCTGCACCCATCAACCTGTCATTTACATTATCTATTTCACCTAATGCTATCCCTCCCCTAGCCCACCACCCCCGATAGGCCCCGGTGTGTGAATTTTTCATATAGGAAAATGTGATCCCTTTATAGCATTATTTGTCAACTGCAATAAGAAAGTCTTAAGTGCATCTTTTTGTTGTTTTTGAAAACAACTATTTCAACTACATTTCATCTATTTTGGCACATTGCTTTTATTAAACACTCATGGGGATTTTTACTGAATTTAATTAAATTATGTATTATTTCTTTCATAATCTTTGAGCCAAATTTGAGTTTCTTTGAAACAATTTGACTTTCTTTGAAATGAATGTACATGCATCTTTAAGTAAAGATAAATTTGAGGTGCAATGTGCAAAGCCCATTTAATAATTTACACAGAACTTTCGGTTTTTATTTCATTCACCTCTGAGAGATTGTTGATGGAGATCAACGTGGAAGGGAAATTGTATAATCAAATTTCTTTAAAAGAATGTCATTGCTAGTGAAAGACAGGATGGATGACATACAGAATTGATCATAACCCTGATATATACATTTCCCAGATATAAGAAGATTGCCAGGAAGTTAGAATTATGAACTTCCTTTTTTTTTTTTTTTTTGTATTTGTGATAGCCACTAACAGTCAAGATAAGAGGATTGGAGAGCTCTCAGGATCAGCTCATTTTGAAAGAGTTTGCATGATTTTCATGTCTTTAGCAATATAGAGACTGATGTAACATAGGAAAACTTATAAGTTATAATCATGGATATAAGTGACCAGCTGTATATGTAATGATGTTTTTGTGTTTTATTGTTATACAGTGTGGAAATATTAAAATGTACAATAAAAAGGGCCAAAAAAGCTTACATCAAAATAGAAAATACTTTTCTCCGAGCCTACTAAATCTTACAGTTTATGTTTTCACAGTTTCTCCATGTCCAAACACATATACTACTTCTTTTTAACCTGCCACAGTTATACTTATTACAATGTAATTTATCATTTGACTGATTTTATCAGATGTCCATTGTCTCTACTTATATAAAATAATCAATACTTGTGGACTAATTTGAAATTATGCTTTTATCCTATAGTAAATTCTGGTAAATAGCTGAATATGCTACAGTATTTTCTGTATTCATTGTCTTGTGTTGCACCTAATGTGTACTAGAATCACTTTGCTTTGATGATTGTGGCTTTGCAGTTCATGTTTTTCTCTGATACAATAATTATCCTCCAAAATTACCTCACCTCCAATTATGAATTCATATTACTCTTTAAAAATATCCTGGTTATGTCCACAAATTGACAAATTTTAGAATAAATTTGTAAAATTTCCAAAAAAAAAAAAAAACATGCTTGACGTTTTCATTGGAATCAACATATTTATTGGCTAATGTATAGTGAAATGGTATCTTTATAGTACTGAGTCCTCTCAATTCAGAGAAGGTGTGACTCCTCATGCAGTCAAATATCCTTTTATTTTCTTAGTAGAATTCTTACTACTATTGTTCTTATATGGTTTCCATGCATTTGTTGTAAATTTTGTTCATAAGTGTTTTCTTTTGTGTTATAATTAAGCATGTCAATTTCTACAGATGTACTGAGCTGCTTATTATTTGATATATAAAAGGTCATTGATTACACATATTATTTAGAGACTAGCTATTATGTCAAACTCTGATTTTATTTTCATTGATTACCAGATTATTTTGGGCAGGCTTTTAGGAATATAGTGGTATCAGCTACAAATAATGGTAATTTGCTTTATTTTTTCTTCTGTATCTCTTCCTTGAATTTTTTCACAAATTGGGTTGGCACTGGTTTTAAATGATGTTAAAAAATGGTGTCCTTACGGAGCCACTGATTTTTTCCAACTATGAAAATCCATGCATAGTTTCACTGTCAAGCATGAGATTAGGTATTTGTTTGACATAAATAATGCTTTGACTTATTAACGTTTTATCCTAAAATTTTATTAGAAATGAGTACTGAATTTGCAATATAGATTTTTTAGCAACTATTGAGATATTATTCTTCCTACTTTATTATGAATTATAGCAATAGTTGTTATATTGTGACTAAATGTGATGGAGGTTAACTTTCCCTTTACTGTAAATAAATCATCATACATCTTCATTTCACATTATTTAGGATGTTTAGTGGATTTCCTGACATTCTATGACGTCTCAGGGGCTACTGTTATTCCTAGTCAACTTTGGCATTAATTTCCAACTTTTGAGAAATTGTTTTCTCTTCTTTTTTACGGCCCATTTACTCTTTGCTTATTTGTTTGTTTTTATACCCAATTCTAAAATGACCCAAATATGAAATGCCTTTATATACTTGTTTCATAATTTATATTCTTTCTTTTACACTTTTATTTATCATCTTTCTTCCTGTGACAATATTTATTATTCGGGTTTAGCTTTGCTTCTTCAGGCTTCTGAGTTCAAATGATTGTGTTACAGAACTAGAGTATGCTACAGCTGTAGAAGCATTGTAAAAAATGTTCCATTTAAGCTTTATCTTGGTCAGGGGACTTGTTCTTGCCTTCAAACTCTCTGTGTGCTAATAATTGTCAAGGTCTGGGGTGCAGCTGGAGGTGAGTTCAGGTGAGCTTCAGACTGCACAAAAAGTTTGATTTCTATTGGGCTCAATACTCCTCCTCTTTCTCTTAATAATTATTTTCCAGTCATTTCAATCTTCTTCCTAATCTTACTTTGTTCCTGTTTCAGGAATTTTTTACCTTACTTCTCTGTCTATAATGCTCTTCCACAAAACATTGGCACATTTAACTTCTCATTATTCATTTTATGTCAAATCTTACCTCCTCAATAAAACCTTCTGGCCCACAATATCTCAAGTTTTATAATACTACCATCACCAACCACTGATTTTCTGCAATTATCTCATTTTATTTTCTTCATAGCTCTTTATCATTATTTGGATTATCTCATTAATATAATCAGTTATTTCTTTATGATCCACAGCCCTCATCACCACCTGACGTAAGAATGTAAGAAACATTAGAGAAAAGATATTGTCTAAATTGTTCACCATAATATTCTTAGTTCTAAGGATACTGGTGTTTTTCTCCCAGGAAATGAGAGATTAGATTTTCATGTAACTCAAATCTCTTTTACTCATATGCATAATAAAACAAAAAAAAAAGAAATGTGTTTTTCGCAATCTGGTTGTATATAACACGCTATGTTTATTTCATGGCAAACATTGGATATTGGTATACAAAATTAACTAATTGGTTATAATTTTGGTATAACACAGTCAATGATAAATAGTAATATTATGAAGATTTCTCTTTTGTACATTTATTTGGCACATTTTCATTTCTCCTCTATTATATACAATAAGAAAACAAAAATTTAAAGAGCTAGAAAAGTGATTCCCAAAGACACAGAAGACATCATTTTACAGTATCAGAGATTATGTTTCTAATCCATATGGAATATTTAAAAATATATATTTACTGAAGTGTTACAGTGAAATCAACTATTTGTATACAAAGTCTTAACATCTTTAGCCATATCAAGAATTGGATCTAGAATGCATATATATGATTTGTGTGTGTGTGTGTATATATATACACATGTATATGTATACGTATACATATACATATACATGTATAATGCATACATGTATAATGTATACATATACATGTATAATGCATACATGTATAATGTGATTACATATATATTTTTAACATATAATGATTATATATTGAGTACATATTTTACGTATTCATATATAATCACATTATACATGTATTTTTCTTTTGCTGCATTGTAATAAATGTATTTTCAATTTTCAATACATACTTTTTTCAATAAATAATAAATGTATTTTCAATTTTCCGTAAATAAATTTTCAATTTGTTTTATTATATGCCCACATGGTTAAAAAGAGAATACTACTAAAATGTTTGCCTCATAATAAAACCTGTACTTTGAAAAATATTTAATATTTCTTTTTAGCCTAAATTTTTAAAATGATGTGAAATAGTTTATCTTTATAGATACAGGATCAGTTTCTTGGAATTATATTCAGGAAGCAGCCCTTCATGGATAAAGGCTAGCACAAATTGCCAGCAGTGGAGTGGTTGATAAGTATAATTTTTCTTCACCATTTGCCACTCCCCAGCCTCCACAGTAATCGCAGAGGAGAGTATCCAAAGATGCACAGGTTAAATATAATAGTAACAGAGAAAAATTCCAATAAAATAAAAGATTTAAATAAAATAAAAGCATTTTTCAGAGAATACCAAAATATTTAATACTTGAAGATCTTGAACGAACTAGAAAATATTGCTAATATTTTATCACATATTGTTATTGCTTGACCCATTTTGTTTTGTTAAATTGATGTCTGAGGGACTTCTATCAAATCTTCCAAACACTTTGATGGTAAATTAATAGATCTATGGAGCCCTTGAAGAAGGATGGAAAAGGCCAGGAGAAAATTATTTTCTGTAACTAATATTCCAAATGAGAAGCAAATTAAATATCCTAAAACTATGAAATTATATTCTAGCATATATTGAAAGGGGTATATTAAAAGGAATCATTTGACCTATATCTTGGTAGGTGGGTGATGATCAGAGAATATTCTGAGACCTAAATTCTGGAATACCCAAGGAGTAGCAGTAATTGTTTTAGATGCTGCATTTCTGTGCACTGCTGTTTCTTCTCCTTTCTTTGTAATTATTATCAAGCCATGAAAAAGTTTTTCTTAGATGACCTTGATAAATTGTTGATAAATACAGTGTTTATCTTACAGCCAGCAACAAAACAAAGCACCTTGATGAGGGCAATAGTAATATCACTTTTTAAAATATTTGCTGGAATGTAACCTAAATCATTTGATTATTTGTAACATTTTTTGACCAAAGTACTCACAATAATTTCTCATGTAACATTTCGAATATTGTTAGGAAATAACGAAGGAAAGCATTATAAAATAAGCACAAGAAAAACTTTGTAGTTAGGTTAAATTCATGCAATGAAAGGCAATCTTGTTGGAGCTCAGGCTGAATTCTCATTTAGGTCACCAACTTGCTTGATGATTCTGCATAAGCTAAAATACCTTTCTTAACCTTAGTATTTACAGCTGAAGATTTACATTAGTGGTTCTCAAACTTTAGTCTGCACTAGAATAACCAGACTTTTTAAGAAACAGATTACTCTTTCAGTAAATCTGGAGTGATATCCAATAATATCTCAAATGATGTTGCTGCTGATCTTGAGACCACACTTTTTAAGAAGCACTAATGTATAAGATGACACACTAACACACACAAATTTCCAGGGGTCAAATTTCTCTATTAGATAATTTAAATTTAAACTTAATCCTTTTGACTTGACATCATATATGTTGGATGTACTTTTCTAATTTTGAAACGTAAAGAGAGGCAGCATTCACTCCTCAAACTTCAAAAGGTAGTAGTATAGATAACACTGAGTAGCATAAAATGACCATATATAATTAGTAAATTTACCTATTAAAAACCCTCTGTTAATTTTCCAATTTCAACATTGTTATATTAATAGACAAGGTTTAAATCAATGAAGGGATATTGACAAACATTGCCATTGCTCCATTTGTTGTGAAAATAGAGTAACATTTTTGGACTACTTTGTCTATGCTCATAAGTCTGGCTAGCACTTTAAAGGCATCAACTTATTTGATCTTTATAAAAGCCTATTATCTTGGGAGAGTGTATGTGTCGAGGAATGTATCCATTTCTTCTAGATTTTCTAGTTTATTTGCATAGAGGTGTTTGTAGTATTCTCTGATGGTAGTTTGTATTTCTGTGGGATCGGTGGTGATATCCCCTTTATCATTTTTTATTGTGTCTATTTGATTCTTCTCTCTTTTTTTCTTTATTAGTCTTGCTAGCGGGCTATCAATTTTGTTGATCCTTTCAAAAAACCAGCTCCTGGATTCATTGATTTTTTGAAGGGTTTTTTGTGTCTCTATTTCCTTCAGTTCTGCTCTGATTTTAGTTATTTCGTGCCTTCTGCTAGCTTTTGAATGTGTTTGCTCTTGCTTTTCCAGTTCTTTTAATTGTGATGTTAGGGTGTCAAATTTGGATCTTTCCTGCTTTCTCTTGTAGGCATTTAGTGCTATAAATTTCCCTCTACACACTGCTTTGAATGCGTCCCAGAGATTCTGGCATGTGGTGTCTTTGTTCTCGTTGGTTTCAAAGAACATCTTTATTTCTGCCTTCATTTCGTTATGTACCCAGTAGTCATTCAGGAGCAGGTTGTTCAGTTTCCATGTGGAAGAAGTTGAATCTCTGAATAGACCAATAACAGGCTCTGAAATTGTGGCAATAATCAATAGTTTACCAACCAAAAAGAGTCCAGGACCAGATGGATTCACAGCCGAATTCTACCAGAGGTACAAGGAGGAACTGGTACCATTCCTTCTGAAACTATTCCAATCAATAGAAAAAGAGGGAATCCTCCCTAACTCATTTTATGAGGCCAGCATCATTCTGATACCAAAGCCGGGCAGAGACACAACCAAAAAAGAGAATTTTAGACCAATATCCTTGATGAACATTGATGCAAAAATCCTCAATAAAATACTGGCAAACCGAATCCAGCAGCACATCAAAAAGCTTATCCACCATGATCAAGTGGGCTTCATCCCTGGGATGCAAGGCTGCTTCAATATACGCAAATCAATAAATGTAATCCAGCATATAAACAGAGCCAAAGACAAAAACCACATGATTATCTCAATAGATGCAGAAAAAGCCTTTGACAAAATTCAACAACCCTTCATGCTAAAAACTCTCAATAAATTAGGTATTGATGGGACGTATTTCAAAATAATAAGAGCTATCTATGACAAACCCACAGCCAATATCATACTGAATGGGCAAAAACTGGAAGCATTCCCTTTGAAAACTGGCACAAGACAGGGATGCCCTCTCTCACCCCTCCTATTCAACATAGTGTTGGAAGTTCTGGCCAGGGCAATCAGGCAGGAGAAGGAAATAAAGGGTATTCAATTAGGAAAAGAGGAAGTCAAATTGTCCCTGTTTGCAGACGACATGATCGTATATCTAGAAAACCCCATTGTCTCAGCCCAAAATCTCCTTAAGCTGATAAGCAACTTCAGCAAAGTCTCAGGATACAAAATCAATGTACAAAAATCACAAGCATTCTTATACACCAACAACAGACAAACAGAGAGCCAAATCATGAGTGAACTCCCATTCACAATTGCTTCAAAGAGAATAAAATACCTAGGAATCCAACTTACAAGGGATGTGAAGGACCTCTTCAAGGAGAACTACAAACCACTGCTCAAGGAAATAAAAGAGGACACAAACAAATGGAAGAACATTCCATGCTCATGGGTAGGAAGAATCAATATCGTGAAAATGGCCATACTGCCCAAGGTAATTTACAGATTCAATGCCATACCCATCAAGCTACCAATGACTTTCTTCACAGAATTGGAAAAAACTACTTTAAAGTTCATATGGAACCAAAAAAGAGCCCGCATCGCCAAGTCAATCCGAAGCCAAAAGAACAAAGCTGGAGGCATCACACTACCTGACTTCAAACTATACTACAAGGCTACAGTAACCAAAACAGCATGGTACTGGTACCAAAACAGAGATATAGATCAATGGAACAGAACAGAGCCCTCAGAAATAATGCCGCATATATACAACTATCTGATCTTTGACAAACCTGAGAAAAACAAGCAA
This sequence comes from Homo sapiens, assembly GCF_000001405.40. NCBI lineage: Eukaryota > Metazoa > Chordata > Mammalia > Primates > Hominidae > Homo > Homo sapiens. The sequence goes on along the minus strand of NC_000002.12, from coordinate 155,445,103 downwards.
TGGGGAAAGGATTCCCTATTTAATAAATGGTGCTGGGAAAACTGGCTAGCCATATGTAGAAAGCTGAAACTGGATCCCTTCCTTACACCTTATACAAAAATCAATTCAAGATGGATTAAAGATTTAAACGTTAGACCTAAAACCATAAAAACCTTAGAAGAAAACCTAGGCATTACCATTCAGGACATAGGCGTGGGCAAGGACTTCATGTCCAAAACACCAAAAGCAATGGCAACAAAAGACAAAATTGACAAATGGGATCTAATTAAACTAAAGAGCTGCTGCACAGCAAAAGAAACTACCATCAGAGTGAACAGGCAACCTACAACATGGGAGAAAATTTTCGCAACCTACTCATCTGACAAAGGGCTAATATCCAGAATCTACAATGAACTCAAACAAATTTACAAGAAAAAAACAAACAACCCCATCAAAAAGTGGGCGAAGGACATGAACAGACACTTCTCAAAAGAAGACATTTATGCAGCCAAAAAACACATGAAAAAATGCTCATCATCACTGGCCATCAGAGAAATGCAAATCAAAACCACTATGAGATATCATCTCACACCAGTTAGAATGGCAATCATTAAAAAGTCAGGAAACAACAGGTGCTGGAGAGGATGTGGAGAAATAGGAACACTTTTACACTGTTGGTGGGACTGTAAACTAGTTCAACCATTGTGGAAGTCAGTGTGGCGACTCCTCAGGGATCTAGAACTAGAAATACCATTTGACCCAGCCATCCCATTACTGGGTATATACCCAAATGACTATAAATCATGCTGCTATAAAGACACATGCACACGTATGTTTATTGCGGCATTATTCACAATAGCAAAGACTTGGAACCAACCCAAATGTCCAACAATGATAGACTGGATTAAGAAAATGTGGCACATATACACCATGGAATACTATGCAGCCATAAAAAATGATGAGTTCATGTCCTTTGTAGGGACATGGATGAAATTGGAAACCATCATTCTCAGTAAACTATCGCAAGAACAAAAAACCAAACACCGCATATTCTCACTCATAGGTGGGAATTGAACAATGAGATCACATGGACACAGGAAGGGGAATATCACACTCTGGGGACTGTGGTGGGGTCGGGGGAGGGGGGAGGGATAGCATTGGGAGATATACCTAATGCTAGATGACACGTTAGTGGGTGCAGCGCACCAGCATGGCACATGTATACATATGTAACTAACCTGCACAATGTGCACATGTACCCTAAAACTTAAAGTATAATAAAAAAAAATTATTCCAAAAAAAAAAAGCCTATTATGTGAGTTGCAATTATTATTGCTTAAAGAAAAGTAATAGAAATTTTAAAATGCAACAAAACATGCCCATTGTTCTTCACCTAGAAAGTAGTAGACCGGGCATCTAACTCAGACAATTTGACTCCATATATCACACTTTAGTCTGAAGCAAAATTTAATGACACTCTTGTTAATGAATGAGTGGCTTGAAAACATTATATAAATCTATATATAAGTCAAATTTTTTTTTTTTATTTGATTGCTTGCTGAATCAGCCATGATTAGGTCTTACTGAAAGTAGCTAAAGAATGAAAACAACATTGGCATAATAAAATAGAAATTTTTTTCATATTTAGAAATTCAAAAGAGTAATACTAGAGATGTAAAGATGCTTCATGCTGTCAAGGACTCACGCTTATTATATGTTATTCTTCTGCCTTATTTGGCTTCAATTCCCAAAGTTACCTAATGGTCCAAGACAGCTGCTATAGCCTCACCCAGTTTTATCTATATCATGGCCAAATGTAAGTAGAAAACAGGAAGACACAGGATCACTCATAACACTTCCTGGTTGATGTACTGAGCATTTCCATTTATAGCCTACTGGTCAGAATTTAGTTACAGGGCCATATCAAGTTGCACCTTGGATATTCAAGAAAACCCCGCAAGTCTCTGCCAAATTGGTTGCCCAGCAATTGATGAGTCATGTCAGACACACAATTGGATCTCAGTCAGGCATGATTGGCTTTCCACAATTTACTACCTAGGATAATTTGAATTTTGACATAGACAGTATTAAATATTCATCACATAGTTTTCTCTTTCTGAGCACATAGGATGATTACATTTCCCAGACCCACTTGACGTTAGATTAGGTATAAATGACTCAGAATTAGCCAATGGGATATGAGTAGTAGTGATATGAGAACTTCAGGCCTGGGCCTGAAAAACTATATAAACAATTCTCCCTCTCTCTACTCTGATGCAGCAATTTTGGAGGCTATTTTTCCAAAATTTCCTATCTTCCAGTTATATAGGACTCATTGATCCACATTGAATTTTGTGTGAGATATAAACCTTTATTGTCTTAAGCCCTTGAAGTTCAAGATATATTTGTTACCATAGAATAACCTAACATATATGACTTCTACAGGAATTATTATGTAGAGTGAGATCTGGTGTAAATGTCATTTATGACACCAAGAATCAATTTATTGAGCTTTTTCAAAGTATCAGGTACTTATAATAGATGACATAAATACAATGATGATAACCCAAATTTCCTCCTCTCCATGAGTTTGCAAACCGGAAAAGATCTCATAAAGCAGTAATGTACTCCCAGATTTCTGTAATGGAAGATCTCAACTGTACCAACATAGTGAGTATACCATCAATTCTCAAAGCTCTCTGAAAAGAACTGTGGCTACTTACATTGTCTCTGGTAAAGGAATAAATGAAGAGATAATTTTTAGGCAAGGCTAAGCACGGTAATTAGAATGAAGATAAGAAAGTGTAACGTTAAGAACATGAACTCTGGACCCAAGCTGAGTCAATTCAAACCTTGCTTTACCACCTACTTTGCTTCTAGCTTTGGACAAGTTATGTAACTTCCTTGTATCTCATATTTCTTACCTGTAAAATAAGTATAATAATAGTCCCTACCTCAAAGGATTATTAATGAGATTACATGGGTTATTTGTAAAACTATTAGAACAGTGGCTGAAATAAACAAGTATTAGGTAAGTACCCGTTAACAATATCTGAGGACTATACTTCCCTTTCTTTCTTTTAACCAAGATTTCTCAAAAACTAGGAGTAAGACTTCGCACTTTTACCCAATCATTTACTTGTAGTTTATAATATTAGCAAGCTATTAAAATGTTTCCTGATATAAAAGCAGCATTTCTCATCTTTGTCTACTTTAAGTTCTGTCAAAATAAAGCATAATAATAAAAAGGAAAATCTAGACAATCAGAAATCATTCTAACATTAAAAATTGTTCTTGTTATTATACTCTATATCGTAATGTATTTTTAATGTAATATATGTCCGAGCTATTATCACACAAGAACCCATTATCGATAAGCTGTCAGATTTAATTGGTGTGTATTGTAAAAATATCCTTGAAAAATAGAACTGTCTCACATTGAATTAAACTCAAAAAGGGGAAAATTTTGTTTCATTCAAAATACATTTCAATAAAATTAATAGAGACACAAATTTCACTGTTATAATATTTTAGTGGAAGGAAATCAAGTGCTTTACATAGTTGGGTACTCTGTAATCTATTTAATATTCTCAATTGATAAAAAACATGTATGTTTATCTAGACCACCAGAAAATTATCACTTTGATAAAGGAGGGATGGCCTGTCACCCTCCTTCAGAGGCTGCCTGTGGGACTTTCTCAAAATTTTGTTATTTTAACAGAAACAAAAGTAGTATGGATGGGGTCAAAAGTGTTGTTTGTTTTTAACAGAAGACAGAAAAGTGTGTTTATATACTGAAGAGAATAATTCAGGAAGACCCGTAGTCTTTATTGGAGTCTAGATTTTTAAGGACTGAGAAACAGCAAGTTATGGTTTTACCTATGATTAAGTAGAGAGCAAATAATACCTGTAAACACAATCATGATGATTTAATCAGCTTGTCTAAATAATACAAATAGGAAGAGAGAGATCCATTACTTATTAAAGTCTCTGACTTCAAACTTGATGTCATTTGTATTTAAAGCGTAAAAATTTTAAATATTTTTTACCATGTTAGGTATTTTTGCATCAAATTATCACATATTAAAAAGGTAGTAGACCAAGTAGAAGAAAGAATTTCAGAGATTGAAGACCAGTCTTTCAAACTAATCCAGTCAGACAAAAATAAAGAAAAAAGAATTTATATTCTTCTATCCGAAGTAACTCAGTAATGAAGAACCAAATAAATCTTCTCACTTACAAGTGGGAACTAAGCTATGGATATGCTCACAATAGGATCAAAACCTCACAAGTCAATATTAACCTTGAATATAAATTGTCTAAATGCTCCACTTAAAAGGCACAGAGTAGCAAGTTGGACTTTAAAAATAATACCCATTCATCTTCTGTTTTCAAAAGACTCATCCCACATGTATCAAAACAAACAGGTGCAAAGTAAAGAGTTAGAGAAAGATCTACCATGCAAAGGAAAAACAACAAAAAAAGCAGGGGTAACTATTTTTATATCAGATAAAACAGACCCTAAATAAATAATGATAAAAAAATGACAAAGATGGTCATAACATAATGATAAGGGGTTCAATTCAACAAGAAGACTTTATTGTCCTAAAGTTATATGGACCTAACATTGAAGATCCCAGATCATAATACAAGTATGTCTAGACCTCCAAAAACCTAGACAGCCCCACAATTGTAGCAAAGGACTTCAGCACCCCATTGACAGTGTTAAACAGATAGTTGAGGCAGAAAACTAACAAAAAAATTCTGGTGCATAACCAATTAGACCTAATGGACAGCTACACAATATTCCACCAGTCAACCACATAATAAACATTATTTTCAACTAAATATGGAACATACTCCAAGATTGATCACAAGCTCATCCATAACGCACGTCTCAAAAAATTCAAAAAACTGGAAATCATACAACCATACCGTCAGACTATGGTGGAATAAAAATAGAAATCAATACAAAGAAGATCTCTCAAAACTGCACAATTACATGAAAATTAAACAACTTGCTTTTAAATGATTTATGAGTAAGCAACAAAATTAAGGAAGAAATCAAAAAAATTGTTTGAAATAAATGCAAAGAGAAGCACAACATACCAAAATATCTGTGATACTGCAAAAACAGTGTGAAGAGGAAAGCCTGTCTCAAAAAGTTACAAAGTTTTCAAATTAATTATCTAACATGACACATTGAGGACCTAGAAAGACAATAAAAAAGTAACCACAAAGCTAGTAGAAAAAAGAAATAACTAAAATCAGAATAAAACTGAACATAATTGAGACTGAGAAATCCATGCAAAGAATCGACAAAACCAAAAGTTGTTTATTTGAAAGAGTAAACAATATCACTAGACTGCTAGCTACATTAACAAAGAGAAAAGAAAGAAGATCCAAATAATCACAATAAGCAATGACAAAGATGACATTACAACTGATCTCACAGAAATACAAAAGATTCTCAGAGACTATTATGAACATCTGTATGCACACAAACTAGAAAATCTAGAGGAAATAAAAAAAATCCTGGAAACACAGTCTCCCAAGGATGAATCAGAAAGAAATTGAAATATTGAACAGAGCAGTATCTAGTTCCAAAATTGAAGCAGTAATAAAACACTTACCTGCAGGAGAAAAAAAAAAAAAAAAAGCCCCAGACCAGATGGATTTGTAGCTTAATTCTACCAGATGTGCAAAGAAGTGCTGGTACCAATACTACTGAAACGATTCCAAAAAACAATTCTACTGAAACGATTCCAAAAAAACAAATATGAAGGACTCCTCCCAAATTCATAGCATAAAGCTAGCATCACCCTGATACCAAAACCTAGCAAATACACCGTGAAAAAATAAAACCACAGGCCAGTATCTCTGATGAACGTAGATATGAAAGTCCTCAACAAAATACTAGGAAATCAAATCAAGCAGCACATCAAAAAATTAAATCACCATGATCAAGTAGGTTTCATTTCTAGGATGCAAGGTTGATTCAACATAGGCAAATAAATAAATGTAACTCAACACATAAACCTAATTAAAAACAAAAGCCAATGACCATCTCATAGATGTGAAAAAAAATCTTTTTAGAAGATGCAACATTCCTTGATGATAAAACATCTCAAGAAACTAGGCATCAAAAGAACGTAACTTAAAATAAGATCAATTTATGACAAACTGTTGGCCAATATAATAATGAATGGGAAAAACTTGATGAATTTCCCTTGAGAACAAGATAAGAATGCCCACTCTCACCACTCCTGTTCAACGCAGTACTGGAAGTGCTAGCCAGAGCAATTAGGCAATAGAAGTAAATGAAAGTCATACGAATAGGAAAAGAAGGAGTCAAACTATTTCTTTTTGTAGATAATATGATTTTATACCTAGAAAACCCTAAAAATTTCACCAAAAGGTTTCTGGAATTGAGAAACAAACTCAGTAAAATGTCTGGATACAAAATCAATGTACAAAAATTGGTAGCTTATTTATACACCAATAACTTTCAAGCTGAGAGCCAAATCAAGGACACAATCCCATTTACAATAGCCACAAAAAAATTAAAATACCTAGGAATACATCTAAACAAGGAGGTGAAAGATCTCCACAAGGAGAATTGCAAAACACTGTTAAAAGTCATCATGGATGACACAAACAAATGAGTAAACATTTTATGCTCATGGGCTGGAAGAATCAATGTCATTAGAATGGCCATACAGCCCAAAGAAATCTGCAGATTCAGTCCTATACCTATCAAACTACCAACATTATTTTTCACAGAACTAGAAAAAACAATTCTAAAATTCATATAGAACCAAAAAGGAGTCTGAATAGCCAAAGCAATTCTAGGTAAAAAAGAACAAAGCCAGAGGCATTACATTACCTAACTTCAAACTATACAATAAGGCTACAGTAACCAAAACAGCATGGTACTCATACAAAATCAGAGGCATAGACCAAGGGAACATAATAGAAAACACAGATATAAAGCCACACACCTACAGCTATCTGATCTTCAGCAAAGTCAACAAAAATAAGAAATAGGGGAAGACTTTTCTATACAATAAGTGGTGCTGTGATAGTTGGCTAGTCATAATAAGGAATAAGGAAACTGGAGAATAAGGATTATTCTCCTTATTATATTCCTTATTCCTTGGATTATATTCCTTATTCCATAATAAGGAATAAGGAAACTGGACCCCTACCTTTCACTGTATGCAAAAATTAACTCAAGATGGATTAAAGATTTAAATGTAAGACCTCATCCTATAAGAATCCTATAAAAGAAAACCTCAGAAATGTCATTTTGGACATCAGACTTGGAAGATAATTTATGACAATTATTCACCCCAGCAATCCCATCACTGGGTTTACCCAAAAGAAAACAAATTGTTCCACCAAAAAGACACACGTACTTATATGTTCATCGCAGCACTATTCACAATAGCGAAACATTGAATCAACCTAGGTGCCCATCAACAATGGATTGAATAAAGAAAATGTAGTACATATAACCATGGAATACTATGCAGTCATAAAAAGGAAGGAAATCATATCCTTTGAAGCAATACGGATGTAGCTAGATGCCATTATCTTAACTGAATTAATGCAGGAACAGAAAACCAAATACCAAATAATCTCACTTATGAGTGGGAGCTAAATGTACTCAGGTACAAAAGGTGGCAGCAATAGAAACTGAAGACTACTAGAGGGCTAGGAGAAAGGGGGATAAGAGCAGAAAAACTAACTTTTGTGTACTATGCTCAGTACTTGAGTGACAGGATCACTCATATTCCAAACATCAGTGTCACACAATATACCCAGGTAACCAACCGGAACACGTATCCCCTGAATCTAAAATAAAAGTTGAAAACAAAATAGTAGGTGGAGCCATCCATATAATTGTGTAAGGTGAACCATGACATATGATTGAAATAGTTACTATTCTCACCAGCCAAAATAGAAAGAACTGTTAAAATCTGGAATTGAGTAGAGTCTTGAGAATGGTATTGCCTTTGTATTACAATTATACTTAATCTTACACTGCAGGCTGCCTTGAAATTAATGAAACATAAAAAGCAAGCCTTGAAGAAGTTAAGTTGATTACAATAATTTGACTGTGTCTCAGAACAAAAACCAACAACATCTAGAATAATATAACAAATTCAAGTAGCAAACAAAAATAAAACATTAAAATGTCTGACATTTGAAAGAAATATAGTTTGACCTAATTCAGAGGGAAAATATCAATCAATTAAACAGATGGTTAAATAATACAGACTCTGGAATTAGCAGAGAAGCATGTTAAAGCAACTATTATGAATGTTCTATATGTGTTCAAAAAGCTAGAATAAATTACAAAAATGAAGAGGAAAGAAGTGAAAGAAAAAGGCCTGAAAACAAACTACTAAATCTAAAAATTAGAGTATCTGAAATTACTTATTAGATGTTTCTACCTAAAGAAACTAGAAAAATAAGAGCAAGTAAAACCCAAAACATGTAGAAGGAAGGCATTAAGAAATAGCAGAAGAAATTGAAATAGAAACAGAAAAACAACATAGAAAATAAATAAAACAAAAACCTGGTTCTTTGAGAAGATAAATAAATTTGATAAACCTCTCACTAGAATAATCAAGCAAAAGGAGTATAAACAATTTACCAATCACAGAAATAAAGAGGGGTCACCACTACTGATCCCAAAGATATTAAAATAACAATAATATGATATTTTCTAAAACTTTATGTCAATAAATTTTAATAATTAGAAAGAAACTGGCAAATTTCTTAAACTACTCACTACTAAAGCTCATTTAAAATAAATAACCTAAAAATTTCATATTTATTTAAGAAATTAAATGTATAGTTAAAATCTTTACTCCAAAAAAAATTTCCAGACCAAGAGAGCTTCACTGGTGAATTCTACAAAACTTTAAATAAAGAAATAATGAGACATCCTTTACACACAAAGGATTATAAATCATTCTATTGTTAAGACACATGAATATGTATATTCATTGCAGCACTATTCACAATAGCAAAGACATGGAACCAAACTAAATGTCCATCAATGGTAGACTGGATAAAAAGATGTGGTACATATGTGCCATGGAATACTATGCAGTCATTTAAAAGAACATGATTATGTCCTTTGCAAGAACATGGATGGAGCCGGAGGCCATTATCATTAGCAAACTAATGTAGGAACAGAAAACCAAATGCTGCATGTTGACACTTATGAGTGTGGGAGCTAAATGATAAGAACACCTGAATGCATAGAGAGGAACAACAGACACAGGGGCCTACCAGAAGATAGAGGGTGTTAGGAGGAAGAGGATCAGGGAAAATAACTAATGGGTACTAGGCTTAATACCTGGGTGATGAAATAATCTGTACAACAAATGCCCATTTCATGAGTTTACCTGCTTAACAAACCTGCACACATACACCTGAACTTAAAATAAAAGTTAATAATAAGAAGAATAAAAAGACATCCTTACAACCTTTTGCAGAAAACAGAAAAAAATGGGGCATTTCCTAGCCATTTTATAAAGCCAGCATCATCCGGTTATTAAAACCAAAGACGTTATTCAAAAGGAAAACTACTGATCAAAATTCTTCATGAACATAGATGCAAAAATTCCTTAGCATATTTCAGGAAAAATCCAGACATATGGAAAAATAAAGTGCAACAAGAAGAACTAGAGTGCTTCACAGGAATGCCTGCCAAGTTAATGTAAAACTTAATCACTTATTATAATTCAAATTATATTAAAATATTACAAAGGAAAATTAATATAATAATTTCAATAGATGCAAAAAGCTATTTGATAAAATTCAACATAATACAGAACACTAAGAAAAACTTAAAAGCAAATCCCTCAAAGCCATAAAATACATCTATTAAAAATCTAAAGCTAACATTTTAATTAATGGTAAAATGTCAAATCATTTCCCCCTACTATTGGGAACAAGGTTCAGATGTCTGCTCACTCCACTTCCATTTAATGTTGTTCTACAAGTCCTAGCCAATGGAATAAGATAAGAGAAAGAAATAAGAGGCATGTAATTTGAAATAGAAGAAGCAAAACTATCTTAATTCACATTTGACATGCCTATGCACTTAGGAAATCTTAAGAAATCTATGGAAAAGTTGCTAAAATTTTATAAATGAAGCAAGATAACAGGATACAAGGTAAATACACAAAACTCAATTATCTATATATGTACTAGTAGTAAACAAATCGGAAATTCAAATTTAAAAATATATTATTTACAATAGCATCAAAGTATGAAATGTACAGGAGTAAGATTAACAAAATATTGAAATTTTATACATTGAAATCTACAAAATGCTCTTGATAAATTTCAAAAGACTTAAATATATGGTAGATATGCTATATTCAAGGATTGAAGGATTCACTATTGTTAAAATGTCAGTTCTCTCTAAATTTATGTGCAGATTCAACAAAATCCAAATCAAAACACAAGTAAGACTTTTTTGTAAAACTTAACAAGCTGATTCTAAGATTCACATGGAAATGCAAAGAACCTACAATAACCTATATAATTTTTAAAAAGAAAAATAAAGTTGGAACATTCATCTTATATGCTATTGCTTTTATAATGCTATAGTAATTAACAAAATAATACATATAAGATATATAGTCTAGAACTGCAAAAAATCTGAATTTTGACTGTGTTTACAAGTAAACAAGTTAACCTATCACAGTTTCAATGATGCTGACAGAATACATGAGCCTTTATCAAAAAAAAAAAAAAAAGGGGGTGCCTTATCCTTCATAGCACAGAAGGCATCTTGAGTTTCACATTTGCAGAGGTTTAACATGCACTCCAAGTCCCATGGTGATGAGGCAGGTGAGCATAATTGAATGCTGATAATGTGCTGCTTTTGTACCACAACAAGGGAAACTCACACTTAGGAATCTTAATTTTTCATACAAGGCTGAAAGCAAACCAACGCAATGTTTGCCTTGATGGGAGAAAATTATCTTGTTATACTGAACAGCAAAACAAAACGAAAAAGAGCCTTTTGTTCTAAAATAAAACACTGTCTCTCAAGACTATTCATTGTACCAACATTTGTAGATAGTCTGGAATGAAAGTTGTCAGTACTTCTTTTTAAGAAAGTGCAAAAATTCAAGAAACTCATAAAAATCCATAAAGAACTGTCTTCCAACAACGTTTAATGGGACAAAATAGAGAATCTAGATATCAACTCAGTATATTAAATTAATCAATTTTCAACAAAGCTACAAAGGTAACTCAATAAGTAATGAATATTTTCAACATATGTTGTTAAAATAATTCTATATTTCTGTTAAAAAATAAACTGTGACCCTTACCTCAGTGTATACACCAAATTAAATCAAGTGAATATATCAAAACCAAAAACTGCAATCCTCCTGGAAGAAATATAAAAAAGAGGCTAAGTGGCTTTAGGTTGGCAAAATTATCTTTAAAGAGAACTCAAAAAGCATGATAATAAAATAAGAGACTGATAAGTTGGAATTCATCCAAATAAAAAGACACAAAAATGAAAAGACAAGCCACATTTTGGAAGAAAATATTTGGAAAACATACAATCTGTCAAAAGACCTTTAACTAGAATATGTAAAAAATGTTCACCATTTGATATGTAAACTAACAAACCATTGAAAAAATAGAACAAAGATTGGATACTTCACCAATGAAAATATAAAGATGACTAATAGCCACACGAATGATGCTTAACATTATTCAGCATTAGAGATATACAAACTAAAACTACAAGAAAATACCACTAGAACACACTTGAATGGCTAACATTAAAGAAGACCAACAACACCAAGTGTCAAACAAGTGGAATTTTCATATATTTCTCATTGGAGTGCAAAATGACACAACACCTTTGGTAATTAGTATGGCAGTTTGTTATATAGGTAAAAATATAATGAACTTACTATACATCAACCAACTTTCAGATGTTTACCCAGGAAAAATGAAAACATAACCCACAAAAATACTGTACTCAAATGTTCCTAATAGCTTTACTCAGAATAACTAAAAACTGGAAACATTCCAAATTTGAATATATTAGAAAAACAAAATGTGATTTACTTATGTAATGAAATACTACTCAGCAATTAAAATGAATGGAATACTGATAGATGCAACAACATGGATGAATCTCAAAAGAATTAGGCTAAATGAAATAATCCAGACACAAGAGTCTATATACTGTATGACTGCCTTCATACGAACGTCTAGAAAATGAAAAGCTAGAGTTAGAAAGTAGATGAGTGTTTGTCAGGGAATGGGGAACAGGAGGAGGTTAATGACCGCAATGGCACAAGAGGAAAGCATTTGGATGATGAAAATGAATATTTAACCCCTAAAAGAGAGAAAAGGAGAAAGAACGAAAGAAGGAAGAAAGAAAGAAAGGCAGAATCTCCGTAACTGACTACCATGTTTCCTATAGCCTGTTTATTTGATGACCCTTTGATTCTGAGATACCTAGCATCTTTTCAATAAAATCTACTTTTTGTTTTAATTTTCCTTAAGTTGGTTTTTGTTATTGGCAAATCATCTTGGTTCATAAAAGCGGTCCCAGCGAGTTAGGTGTAGGAAATAGAACTTCAGGGAAATGTACAGCATTTGGTGTTGAATAAAAGCTGAGGTAGCTAAAAGGAATTGAGATTTGGAAAAATTGGAAGTTCTTGTTATATAATGTCAGAGAGATAATGGAGCCTCATAATTCTTTCCTTAGACCAAGTACTCACTAGTAGTGAAATTCTAGGTGAGCAAAGAGCTGCTACCATAAAATAATTTGAAGTGGATAAGGAATGTTGGCATAACCAACCTCGGAGGGTCACTTGGGATGGCATTGGATAACTCAAAGTGAGAGAAAAGTAAAATAAAATCTGAAATTTCTTAATTTAAAACATTAAATGAAACATAGATCCCTTTTGTGACCATACTGAAATAATTTCTGTTTGTACAGAGTTTTAATGTTGTTGCTGTGCACCAAAGCCAGAGATTGTGTTCCATTATATTCAAGATAAAATTCACCAAGATGGCTGAATATAAAATTAACACACAAATTCAATAGTTTTCCTATTTAAAAATTAATACATTTATTAGAAGAATTACCTACAGTAGCAAAAGAAAGATGACTTACATAAGAATAAGAGGAATTAAGAGAAAATGAGCAAAATCACAATGTAGTTGGAAGGGCAAGAGCAAGAAGTGTGGGAGTGAGAAGAGGGAGGTAACAAAACTATCGGTAGCAGCACTTCTCCTCAATTTCCTACCTCTGATCATTTCGCCTACCAGCTACATCTCTGATTGCAGGACACCCAAAAGCCAAGCATTAACTGCTTAGACCAAAAATGGAAGAAAGAGTACATGCAACAGAGATTTTTATTTTTTGAAGAAAAGGAACTTCTAACTGTTGGGGAGCATTAGGGTAACCGGTGTGAGTGTGTTTACCAGAGAATAATGCTCGTTGTTTTGATATTCCTGGGTTTTTCATTGTACTGAAATAAAAAAGACTGGTTGACCTTTCATCTTCAAGTATAAAATCTTGTTAAAAGCCCTTCTTTTTCCTTAGTTTTAACTTGTACTTTCTGGAAACATTAGGAAAACCTGTAACTCAAAAAAAAAAAAAAAAAAAAAAAAAAAAAAAGGCCGGAAGCAGTGGCTTGCGCCTGTAATCCCAGCACTTTGGGAGGCCGAGGTGGGCGGTTCAGTTGAGGTCATGAGTTCCAGACCAGCCAGGCCAATATGGTGAAACCCTATCTCTACTGAAAATACAAAAGTTAAACAGGCGTGGTGGTGGGTGTCGGTAATCCCAGCTACTCAGGAGTGTGAGGCAGGAGAATTGCGTGAGCCTGGGAGGCAGAGGTTGCAATGAACCGAGATTGCACTCCAGCCTGGGTGACACAGCAAAACTCTGTCTCAAAATAAAAATAAAATAAAATAAAAATAAAATAAAATAAAATAAAAACCAAGGTTTGTTTTTTGTTTGCTTGTTTTTTAAAGACAGCAAAGGCATTCTAATGTAAGCAATACTAACGGACTGAAAAATTTCCACAGTAGCCCCCAGCTACTCACCTTTAGTGAGTTTCTTTCATATTTTAGGAATTGAGAAATGCTACAGGCCCCAAATAGAAAAGTTTTATCACAGTTTCTCAAAATCCCAAATGAGTAGCAGACCCTGTACTTGAACTTAGGTATGTTCACATCCAAAGATGGAAATTTATTTTACCAGTTTTAATATCTGAATACTCCTCTCATTTTAACAAAAATTCCTCTTGCTCACTCCTATTCCTGATACTACCACCTTACACTTAAAATAGCAACAGCTTTTACAAGGGGTCTTTAATCTTCAAAAGAAAGGGTATGAGATGGTTATAAAGATGACTTATAAGAAAACTTACTTAAGATCATCAATTTGGATATCAGATCCAAGAACCAAATTCAGGTTTTCTGACTCCAAGTACAGTGATTTTTTTTCCATTAATTAAAAAACGTCATTGACTATAAAGAAATTTAAATTTATTTTTACTAACACCAAATGTTAGGGTTTATATTCAATGTTTTGACTATATTCATCTGCCAGTCTCTGTTTACCATTATTTTTAATGATAACATTGATATTTAAAAGTTTTGTAGTCTCCTAAATTTTTAATAATATAAAATCTGCCTCTTCTCTTTCTCTAGGAAGTCTTTTAATAGTCGATTATTGTGTAAATCAATATGACAATAAATAAAAGGACATTTTAAATGGTCAGGTTAAAAATTAAAAGATGGCTGAATCACACAGAAAATGCATAAATTCACCACAAATAAATCAACCAAGTTGACTGTAGATCGATTTCAACTATGTTCTTTCAAAATAAGAAACACTGAACCTGTAAGAGAGTATACTTGGATAAGATAGTGATGCTTCTTTTAAATAATAAGATGAAAACATTCTCTAAAGCACAGAGGTGCTTTAAATAGGAGACCCACTTTAAAATTTTTCTTCTTTTGTGTAGTTTTGCCATTCTGAGCTTTTGTGACCCTTTCTTTTCATTTTCTTACCTTCCAAATGGCCTAGCCTGGCCTTGTACTCAATCTCACTTACATGAGCAGGTCTTTTACATAGAAATGGTTAGCATCAGAGGAAAAATCTATTCACCAAAGATAATTGAAAATTCCTAGGTGCTTCTCCATCTTGTTACCCTTCAGCTTTCTTCTCCAAATCCATTATTTTGGAAAGTAAGTTCTGTCCAAAGCATAGCTTCTCAAGTTTGATTCTCCATTTAACCAATGGCCCTCCATTATTATAAGCTACAATAGAGGTCAAATTACAGATAAAAATCTTACACTTCACACATACAGTGATATCCAAAAGGGGAAGTATTATTTGACTTTATAAGGAAATGGAGGAGAAGAACTATCCAACCCCACATTTTGTTGCCATAGCCACAATTGTGTAGTATGTGTGAACATGTATGTACATACACTATGTTTAAACTTTTCTATAAACCTATCATTCATTTTGTTATGTTTGGCAATTAGATAAATGCAATTCCTCATATTCAAAAGAATATACAAATTCACCTTTAAGTGGATTTGGGGAACCTTATGGCTTCAAGTAAAAAAAAAAAAATGTCATTATGTTTCAATGACAGGTGCTAAAAAACTCTATTTACTCTTTTTAATGCAGAGGAAATCAGGAAATTGATATAATTTTGTGGGAGTTAACCAAGTAAATGACTTTCCTGGGCTTACTGACTCACCTTTCCTATAAACAGCTTCCCTTATATTTAGGTGATTTAGTGGCAAGAAAAATCTTGGTAGATGGTTAAGGCATTAGCAAATAAGCATTACTTGTACACAGGAGTTCTATCCTCACTCTGAGGTGAGTACATACACAATAGGGCAAGACAAGGTTATTGTCCTTACACAGCTATGACATAGATAGGGAGAAACTGATGAAGTTTATGAAGTAATTACAGAACAGTCAAGTGTAAAATAAATCCAAAGAAGAAAAATTAGTGAAAGTGGAAGAAAGCAGATAAAGTTTCTTTGACAAGGTTAACTAGAAGGAGAAGAAGAAGGTAAGGAGGAAGAAAAAGAAATGATTTTTAAGAAGCACAGACTAGGCTGGGTGTGGTGGCTCACACCTGTAATCCGAACACTTTGGGAGGCCTGGGTGGGCAGATAACCTGACGTCAGGAGTTCGAAACCAGCCTGGCCAACATGATGAAACCTCGTCTCTACTAAAACTACAAAATTTAGCTGGGCATGGTGGTGTGTGCCTGTAATCCCAACTAACCAGGAGGCCGAGGCAGGAGAATCGCTTGAACTTGGGAGGCAGAGGTTGCAGTGAGCCAAGCTTGCACCACTGTACTCCAACCTGGGCAACAGAGTGAGACTCCATCTCAAAAAATAAAAAATAAAAAAAAAAAAGCTCAGATTATGTACAATGCTTTATTATTGGCACAATCATAGTCCCTGAGCTGGGCCTATGAAATGAAGGAGCAAGAGAATTCCATGAAAGAAAATAGCAATAGTTAAGATACAAAAATTGACCTAAAGAGGGTAGATTCTATGGACAAGAAGCATGCTTGCTTTCCTGAAATAAGGCGATACTAACATGGGATTACAGAATAAAATATGGATAAACTGTGGGGCAGAACAAGCTATATCATTTGTGAGGCCCAGTGCAAAATGAAAATGCTGGATGTTTCTTCCAAAATTAAGAATTTCAAAACAGTGACAGCAGAGTATTAAGCAAGCAAGGGTCCCTTCTAAGTGTGGGGTTCTGCCCACTGCACAAACCACATGCCTGTGAAGCCAGCCCCACTGGGGGACATTACACAGGCACCCTAGAGTTAGGTAGAAAAGCTTAATATCTTATAAGCAATGGGGATCTTGCAACAGAGAAAATATGCTTTAAGAAAGGTAATGACTTGCAATTAGTGACTTAAGATATTCCTGGCAGCAGCACATAGACTGAATTGTGGAGAAGCCTCAGACTAAAGACAAGGCAAAGAGTTCAGAGATTAGTGTAGTGACATAGCCTAAGGAAGATGCTTGCACCAGGACAGTGGAAATGGAAACAAAGAAAAAACCGAACATTGGATATATAGAACACCATGATTCTTACAAGAAAAAATTACAAACATAGAAGTTTTTGTTTTGTTTTGTTTTGAATTGGAAGGCTGAGGAAACAATGGTAAGACACACAAAAGAGCAGCACTCTGGAAAGGTGCAGGCATTGGGTGTGAAGTTAATGACATCAAGTGAGTAGTTGCCAATTTAGGAAAAAGTTTAACATTTACATCAGAATTCAGCTCAATTTAAATAATTTCCTGTAAATGTAGACATAATGGAACACACTGCTTTAGAAAATGGTGATTTCTTATTACTACATGTGTTCAAATTTTTGACCACAGTATCAGTTTCTTATTACAGCTCTAACAAACGACCACAAACTTGGTGGCTTAAAAGAGCATCCAGTAATGGCAGGGCTGTGTTCCTTCTGGAGATAGTGGGAGAAAATTTGTTTCCTTACATTTTCCAGCTTCTAGAGCCTCCTTGCATTCCTTGACTCATGACCTTGTCCTCCAACTTCAAGGCTGGCAGTGTAAGGTAGTGAAGAGCTAAGGACATGCCATCCCAAAATGTGCTGTTTTGGCATTTTGATTTTTAGCTGAAGTCACTTGAGAAACAGTAGATACGGGACAGGCTCTTTGATCTCTTTCTTTATGCCTAAGAACAGGCCATAAAACTTCCCATTAGAAAGGCGTACTGAGAAGAGACCATGCAATCACCAAAGACTGAGGGTTGAGGCTGAAGTGGATGTATATAAACACACTTACTAAAATAACCCTGATCTTACCCTAGCCCCATCACTTCACACATCTCCTAGCCAATTCCTCATAATTCACTACCCTTCACCACAACTCCTTTGTCCTCTTATTTCTTCATAAACTTATCATTTATCTAAAAGTTATAAAAACTTTATGCTCTAATCACTTTTTCAGGTATTCATTCTGTTGTGAAGGCTTTCAAGTACATGTAAAAATTTATTAAAACTTGTATGCTTTTCTCCTGTTAATCTATTTTATGTCAGGTTACCTCTAGCCCAGCTGGAGACACTGAACGGGTAGAGAAGAATTATTTCCTCTCCAAAAGTTCCATCTTCAAATCTCTCTCTCTTTCTCTCTCTCTCTCTCTCTCTCTCACACACACACACACACACACACACACACATCCACACACACACCCCTTTACTTTTGTCTTCTTTTCTGACTCTGACTCTCCTACCTTCTTTTCTTTTCAAGAGTCTTGTGATTGCATTGAACAGCCCTGGGTAATCTAGGATAATCTCTCCATCTCAAAACTTTTCAATCACATCTGTAATATCTCTTTTGTAAAGAAAGTTAGCATAGTCACAGGTTCTGGGAATTTGGATGTGGAAATCTTTGAGGTGGGTAGTCATTATTCTGCCTACCACAAAAGATGTTAGTGATTGCTATTTATTAAGTGTGTAGGCTAACTCTCCGCTAGTTTTATTTAGCTATAAGATTCAATGGTTATAAGAGACTTTCTGCAATATAAAGAAAGTAGGAAAATGTAACATGAACATAAGCCCGAGCAGGATTATAGGTTGGATTTAGCTGAATTTAAGCTATTACTCTGAATCAGTTTCCCAATTGTAGGAGTAGATAAGCCAATAGCACATTTCGGGGAGTTAAAGGTGGCTATGATGGTTAGAGGGGAAAAGTGGTAAGAGGTATAAAAAGAAAACATAAAATAATGATATAGAAATGTATGGGATAAATTTTTAGACACTGGTCATATGTCTGATCCCAGAGAACATTTAACTTATAGCATAAATAAGAATTGTAGGACATGATATTTTAATTTTCTAGGATTTCCAAATTGATGCCGCTGACTGGTACAGCAAGAAGCAAAACATAATTCAGGAATATCATTCATCAGATAGAGAGGTGGGTGAAGATATCGAGACACATAGGATGAACTCAATGGAAAGTCATAAAGAGTAATTTGCTCAACATAATTTTATTGTGAGAACAGCAAAAAGAAAAAAATGACACAGAGAGAGAGCAAGAAAAAACAATATAGAATCATACAAAACGCCTCTGGTTCTGAAATCTTATGCCAAACTACTTTCCACTTTAAATGAAGAAAAGTTTTCAGAAAAGGAGTGGATGGGGATTATTAAACATAGAATTATTTTGCATAGTCCTATTATGTATATGACAACTGCCTGAAACATTGTCCAGGGTAAGAAAATAGGCAAAAGAAGAAAAGAAGAAAAAAAGTACTGGGTGTCCTTTCAGTGGAGCACTTGGCATTTGCTATTGAATTCTCTGGGAATTATATGGCTCTATATATGTGTACTTTTGATCATCTTTCTATTAACTAGGTTAGTTTATATCTCTGTGGGGCCAGCTCCACAAATCAAGTTGTAGGAAACTGATAGTAATGCAAGTAATTTTTATCTATAGAAATGCAAATGAATTTTGTCCAAGAGCGATACAATTGATTTCTATCCTGTAAAAGTTAACTAGACTAAGAGAGAAGACCCAAATAAATAAAATCAGAAACAAACAAAAAAGAAACATTACAATGGATATCACAGTAATATAAAGGATCATTAGAGACTATTATTAACAACTATATGCCAATAAATTTGAAAACCTAAAGGAAATGGATTGCATTCCTGGATACACACAATGTACAACCAGGAAGAAATGGAAAACCTGCACAGGCCAGTAACATGTAATGATATTGAAGCAGTAATAAAAAGTCTGCCAACAAAGAAAAGTTCTGGACTGGATGGCTTCACAGGCTGAATTGTACCAAACTTTTAAAGAAGAATTAATACCAATTCTTCTTAAACTATTCCAAAATATTGAAGCAGAGGAAATTCTTCCTAACTCATTCTACAAGGCCAGAATGAACACAACATGATAAAAATAGATGCAGAAAGCCTCAACGAAATACTAGCAAACAAAATCCAACAACATACTGAAAAGACAATCAATGAAAGGATGGTTCAACATATGCAAGTCAATAAATGACATACATAACATCACTGAGATGAAGGACAAAAACCTTCACATTGATCATCTCAATAGATGCAGAAAAGGCTTTTAATAAAATTCAACATCTTTCATGATAAAAACTTTTAATGAATTAACTATAGAAGAAAAGTACCTCAATGTAAAAAATGTCATGTATGACAAATCAACACCTAATATCTTACTGAATGGGGAAAAAGCTTTCAGAATCTGAACAAGGCAAGGATGCCACTTTTACCACTGTTACTTAACTTAGTACTGGAAGTCCTAACCAGAACAATTACGCAAGAGAAAAAAGTAAAATGCATCCAAACTGAAAAAGAGGAAGTCAAATTTTCCCTCTTTATAGACAACATGATCTTCTATATGAAAATCCTAAGGACCCTACCAAATTACTCTCGAAACTGATAAACAAGTTCAGTCAAGTTGCAGAATATAAGATTAATAAACAAAAGTCAGTAATGCTTCTACATATGAACAATGAACTAGCTAAAAAAGAAATCAAGAAGGAATTCTGTCTATAATAGCTACACAAATAATAAAATAACTAGGAATATATTTAACAAAAGAGGCAAAAATCTCTATAGGAAAAACTACAAAACACTGATTAAATAAATTAAAGAGGGTACAAACAAATGGAAAGACATCCCATGCTCTTCCTATGGATCTGAAGAAATAATACCATTAAAATGGCAATACTACCCAAAGCAGCCTACAGATTCAAGATAAGCCTTATGAAATACCAATAACATTCTTCACGGAAATAAAATAAACTGTCTAAAATTTTTGTGGAGTCACAAAAGACCCCAAAGAGCCAAAGCAATTCTCAGTGAAAAGAACAAAGCTGAAGGTGTCACACTACCAGACTTCAAAATATACTGCAAAGCTGAAGTAACCCACAGCTACACACTGACATAAAAATAGACATACAGACCAGTGAAACAGGATAGCAAACCCAGAAATTAATCCAAATATCTCCATCTAACTGATTTTTGACAAAAGTGCCAACAGCATTCACTGGGGCAAAGACAGTCTCTTCAATGAATGCTTCTGGGAAAAGAGGATAACTATACGCAAAACAATGAAATTAGACTCCCACTTCTAACCCTATACAAAAAAACAACTCAAAATGGATCAAATACCTAACTATAAGACCTGAAATGCTCAAACTAACAGACAAAAATATATTGGAAACACTTCAGGACATTGGTCTGGGAAAAGATTTTATGAATAAGACCTCGAAAACACAGGCAACAAAAGCAAAAATAAACAAATGGAATTATGTCAAACTAAAAAGCTTCTGCACAGCAAAGGAAATAATCAACAGAGTGAAAAGACAAAGTCTTGAATGGGAAAAAAATATTTTTAAACTACTCATTTACCAGGGCATTAATGTCCAGAACGTACAAATAATTCAAACATTTCAACAGCAAAAAATCTCCGATTAAAAAATGGGCAAGTGATCTGAACACACATTTCTCAACAAAATATATAAATGGCCAATAAATATATTTTAAAAATGCTAAACATCACTAATATTCAAGGAAATGCAAATCAAAACCACAATGAGGTATCATCTCACCTCAGCTAGAATGAATTGGTATTATCAAAAAGACCAAAAATAGCAAATTCTGGCAAGGATAGCGAGAAAAGGGAACTCTTAGACACTGTTGATGGGAATGTAAACTAGTATAGCTACTATGAAGAACAATATGGAGGTTTCTCAAAAAATTACAAATAGAAATACCATATGACCCAGCAATCCCACTACTGGAAATCTATTCAAAGGAAAGGAAATCATTATATTAAAGACACATTTGCACCTCCATGTTTATTGCAACACTATTCACAATAGCCAAGAGATGGCATCAACCTAGGTGTTCAAAAACAAATAAATGAATAAAGAAATTGGTAAATATACATTATGAAATACAAGTCAGTCATTAAAAGAAATAATGAAATTCTTTCAATTGTGGCAAAATGCATGGAATTGGAGAACATTACATTTAGTGAAATAAGCCATAAACAAGAGGTCAAAAATTGCATGTTCTTGCTTTTACCTGAAAGCTAAAAAATGTTGATCTCATGGAAGGAAAAAGTAGAACAGACGAAACTACAAGCGTTCTACTAGGAGAAAACAAGGAATAAGAAAGATTTGTTAAAGGATATGAAATTACAACTAGATAGGAGGAATAAGTTCTAGTGTTCTATGCCACCGTAGGATGAGTATAGTTAACAATAAATACAAAGTTTCAAGTAGTTAACAGGGAGATATTGAATGTTCCAAAAGCAAAGAAATGATAAATGTTTGAAATTGTGGATATGGCCAATTATCCTGATCTGATCGCTATACATTTGTGCATCAAACATCACTTTCTGCCCTGTGAATATGTACAATTATTATTTGTCAATTAAATAAAACAATATTAAAATACAGAAAAACTAACACATTAAAAAATTATGACCCCAAACACTACATTTAATAGACCCTTAAAATATTAATCAGTTTTGCATCCGTTAGTGTTTCTGATCTTACACACATGCATGCACACACATATAATCCTCAAAATCTTTGAACTTCTTTTAATAGCTTACTGGTTCCTTCATTAATTAAGGAGTTGACTAAAGTCTGTTTTTTTTGTGCTAAATTTATATTTGTATGAGAGTTGCTATGGTCTAAATATGAGGGTCCCCCCAAAATTGTATGTTGAAATCCAACTTCCAAGGTGATGGTATTAGAAGGTAGGACTTTTGGGGAGGTGATTAGGACATAAAGGAGCCCTTAAGAATGGGATTAGCACCTTAATGAAAAAGACCCCAAAGAACTGCCTTGCCCTTTCCACCATGTGAGAACACAGCAAAAAGGTGCCATTTTTGAGAAAGCACATTCTTACCAGTCACTGAATCTTGATCTTAAACTTCCCAACTTCCAGAACTCTGAGAAATAAACTTCTGTTGTTTATAAAATACCCAGTTTATGGTGAGATGAGCTCTGATTTACAATAGTTTGACTTAAATTTTTGACTTTACGATTGTGCAAAGAGATATGCATTCTGTAGAAACCTTACTAAATATGAGTACTCATATAACTGTTCTGTTTTTTACTTTTAGTAAAGTGTTCAAAAATTACATGAGACATTTAATACTGTATTATTTTTTAAAAGGCTTTGCTTTAGATAATTTTGCTCAACTATAAGCTAGTACAAGTTTTCTGAGCACATTTAACGGTAGCAGGCTAAGATATAATGTTTGGTAAGTGTATTAAATGCATTTTAGCATGATTTTTTCAACTTATAAGTTTATTGAAATGTAATGCCATCGTAAGTCCATCTGTATTTTGTTAAAGCAGCTCAATGGACTAAGCCAAGAGTCATATTTACCTTTTTGAATATTTATATTTTAACATAACCCACTAGGTATAATACAGATGGATAAAACAATCATTTTAGCAATTTCAGTTTTTAAGACATGAATTTAAACAAACATTTGAGGGCAAAAAAGAACCTGAATCTGTAACTTGAAGAACCATGTTCTCCAACCACTGTCTGTATAGGTATTCCAAAACATAAGCTGATTTACACGGTTCCTTATTCATCATAATATTGATTCCAAAATTCTCTCCATAAACACTTGGAGGGATCATTATAAATTGCCTCAATTGTCAGAGGGTCAATATTTCTTAAAGAAATTTTGTTTTGGGGTTTTTGAGTTATTTCAGGAAAGAAGCAACATATTTTGAAATATCAATACTTTTTCTTTTGCAGGGAGGGGTCATGTGTATTAAAATGAAGCTGAGCATCAATTATAATTGTATTTCTCCCCACTTAATCAGAACATATTATTTTGGTAAAGGAATGTTTTTGGTCTCAAACTTCATTCTCAAACGTGTGCAATCAAAATAAATGTAAGAAGTGCAAAGTAAGAAGACATTTGATTTTTTTCTTTGCTTAACTACTCAGTAAAATTGTTGTTAGTATCATATTGCCATGACACCTTCGTGTTATACAATAGGCATATACATTTTCTTTAGAAAAACTAAATTCATGCATCTCTTCTCTCAATTATATGATTTATGTAATTTTGAGAACACAGAAGCTCTGCAACAAAACATTCAATAAATTATTTAAAAGTGCTGAGAATTGCTCTATGGCAGTGAAGAGCTAAATAAGGATCATCTAATTCCATCAGTTGTTAACATATAAATTCAAAACAGGAAAAATTCTACATATAAGTATTTTGTCCAAAATTAGTGTTTTTCTACTTGTAAGTAGGTCAGAAGAGCAAAAAAGATATAAAGTTTGGATCTACCACACTTTATACTTATTTATTGCTCAATATTTCCATAACTAAATTTGTTAACCTGAATATAAATGTTTCAAACAGGAAAACAAATTAGCATAAAAGAAACTAAAAGAATAACAAATATATGAATACACATAATCATATTCACTGGAAAGAAAGCGCAGATTAAACGGTACTTACCTTATCATTATCACACACATGCACATAAATATATATACAGTAGTGACACATTTGGGAAAAAACATGGACAAACTGAAGAGTTCAGAAGAAAGGGTTGATGAAATGTTTGAAAAATAAGAACTATGAGGAAAGGTTAAAAGAACAGGGCACGTCTGTCAAATGAGTATACTAAAGGGATAATATGATATTTATCTACAAATACATAAAGAGGTGATAGAAGACAACCATCAATTATTCTCATTAGTCGATGAGGAGAGAATAAGAATAGACAGTTTGAAAGAGGGTAATCATGCAAAACTTAAGAAAAACTCTAAACAAAGGCTGTAAATCCAAAGAACTGGCAATTCTATGGCTATAGTATCTGTCGTTATTGAGAAGCCAAGATTGATGTTAGATGCTTATTAAGAAAGGCTCATAAATAATTAAGTTAAACCTGCCTTACCTCAAAGAAGTTAATAGATGTAAACGAAAATCTTCCTTCCAATGTTGAAATCCAGTTTTACTTCTTTCTCTCACTTATTGAGAATTAGCTGACTTTAACCTTCTAGTTTATATTTAAAACTACTTGAACTATTTATTTATTTATTTACTTTTTGAGACTGAGTCTCGCTCTGTTGCCCAGGCTGGAGTGCAGTGGTGCGAGCTTGTCTCATTGCAACCTCCGCCTCCCGGGTTCAGGTGATTCTCCTGCCTCAGCCTCCTGAGTAGCTGGGATTACAGGCACCTGCCACCACCCCCAGCTAATTTGTTTTTTTTTTTTTTTTTTTTTTGTATTTTTAGTAGAGTTGGTGTTTCACCTGTTGGTCAGGCTGGTCTCGAGCTCCTGACCTCGTGATCTGCCCGCGTCAGCCTCCCAAAGTGCTGGGATTACAGGCATGAGCCACCGCGCCCAGCTGAATTTTTTTTTTTTAAGTAGAATGAAGTACAAAATAAAATTAAAAAGAACGTATACTACATTGAATGACAGATTAGCAAATACAAGCATGATAGAAAATGATTCATGAGTTTTTTCTGGTCTGGAAACTAAAAGTGTATTAGTTTTCCAATATATATGTATTAACTTAATACACCAGACAATGTAACAGGCATTAATATAAATTCTTTGGAAGGGCAGAATTCAAATACAGTTCCCTGTTTTTCAGTATCTCTGGTATTTTATATAATGATATGTCATCTAATGACTAACCATCTCTCAAATAATATGCGCTGCTTGCAAGGAAATCACATAAAGCCATTCTACTAGGAAAATAACAGATTCAGTATGAGATATCTTCTATACCATTAGTAAATCACCTTTACAGATGGAGAAAAATACATCAAACTTGAGCAAAATTTTGAGATGATAATTAGGGTATAAATAACAGACAAAACTAACAATTTGTATTTCACTAATACAGAATTCATTAGTTGACCATAAGCTGCCAGGAATGTTATTTTTGCCTTGATACATTTCTTTCTTTTTAAAGAGAGTAAATTAATAATGTAAATAAGATTGCAAGAGGATCCTTGAAAATACTTAGTAGAACAAACTTTCTAAGCACCCTCAAGCACTTTAGAAGGATCTATTTCCACACAATTGATATGCTAATTACAAACCATTAAATCAAGTCAAGGATGTGTATTGGATAACACTTTGTTAGTTTAATGTGAGTTAATGTACGTACTTGAAATAATAGAACTCTGTTCCTTTTTAAAATAATATACCTTTACACTTTTTTTCTTAATTGAGATTAAGCTTCCTCCAATTAGTACAGATTAATGACATCTTACAGGAGTCAATATTTAAGAACCAAGAGGCATTACTGACTCTTCTATAACCTATTTATGGTCATAAAAGGGCTTTAAGTTTGGGAAAAGCAATCCTAGAGTTGATACTTAATACGATCTTACAATTGAAATAGTACTTCCAAACACAATAAAGTAACAGATATGACAAATTTGGATATAATCCAAAATAAAATCATTAATGATTTTTACATATATATATGCCTAGCAAATAAAGGAGAATGGATATCTTTGCTAGTCAATGTTGAGAGAAGGCAACTTTTTATATATAAAGAGATTATCTAAGGAAATAATGAGTCTCTGCTCCCACATCTGTATACATAAGTATAGGCCTTCCTCCTCTCTTACTCGCATACATTAATAAAACAGTATTAAATCAAGGGTAAGGCGGAGACTTGGCTAATTTACACATCATTATAGCCTATTTTTACTGAGGGAGGAGGGAAGTGGGGGAGGGGCAGGGCAGTGTAGAGCAAATTTAAGAAACCCCACAGTGCTTTCATCAGCATTACTAGTTTATTGTCCATCGTAAAAATATGTGGTACACTGGCTGGGGGTGGTGACTCAAGCCTGTAATCCCAGCACTTTGGGAGGCTGAGGTGGGTGGATCACCTGAGGTCAGGAGTTTGAGACCAGCCTGAGCACATGGAGAAACCTTGTCTCTAATAAAAACACAAAATTAGCTGGGTGTGGTGGCGCATGCCTGTAGTCCCAGTTTATCACGAGGCTGAGGCAGGAGAATCGCTTGAACCTGGGAGGCAGAGGTTGTGGTGAGCGGAGATCATGCCATTGCACTCCAGCCTGGGCAACAAGAGTGAAACTCCATCTCAAAAAATAAATAAATAAATAAAACATGGCACAGTAAAGGTTATAGACTTTACTTCTAAAGAGATGTTTACGAACCAGGCTGAACAACACTTCTCTTTCAAATAATTGAAGGGATATACTAACTATATACTTTAGTACATCTGACAGATGATAGTACAACTTTTAAAAAACATTTTGTTACATGAAAGTTTCAAAGAGCACCAAAGTAGAGAGGAGGGTAAATGAAGATCTCTTTACCTGTTACCAGATTCAGCCTTTAATCAAAATTTTGCTGCGATTATTCTCTAACTCCTACAGTTGTGGCTCTCTCACTATTACTTTCTCTCTCTTGATTTCTGCCGTGTTCGTTTTTGGTGAGTTACATAAAACAAATCCCAGAGATTATCTCTCACCTGACATCTTTTGCTGTGCATCTCTTAAAAATATGGACAATTTATCAATAATAACTGTTACTTTTTTATAATACATTTACCATTCTAATTTGCTTCCTACGTGTCTTTGATAGCAACAGGAGGCAGAAAACCCCTAGGCAGAGATGGGAGGGTCCCCAGTGAAATCCCACCTTCAAGTCAAGGACAGTTGGAAGCCAAGCTACAAATCTTGGGTAAGTTCATGGACCAGATTGAGAACCTCTCTTCCTGTTTGGCATGTTTTCCTCTGATTGATCCCCACCCTTCACCTATTTTACATACACCTATCCTTCCCTAATTGGTTTGCTACACTGTTGTACCCACCTTTGAGTGGTGCTTTTGTTTTAGCTTTTTTTTTTTTGCATACTCACAAACCAATCAGCATGCACCCCCATTCTGAGCCCATAAAAACCCTGGATCCAGCCACACTGGGAGAGAATCCACCCAACTTCAGGTGGGGACTACCCTCACATGCCCTCTCCACTGAGAGCTGTTTTGTTGCTCAATAAAATTCTTCTCCACCCTCCTCACCCTTCAACTGTCAGCATTTCTTCATTCTTCTTGGATGTGGGACAAGAGTTTGGGACCCACCAAATGTGGGTATAAAGAGGGCAGTAACACTGTGGTCCTCTGCTCTCTACCAGTGGAAGGAAGCTGCCCCACATGATGGGAAACAGCAGCAGGGCCAAGACAGCCCCAGAGTCGTGGGCTGGAGTGGGGCAATGGGGTTGACAGAGTTGTAAATGTTCCACCATCTGCCTGGGCAGGGGCGTCACCGGTCAGAGGTCTCCAGCTGGCAACGTTACTGAGAAAAATCCTGTGTCATCTTTGCTCTACCACTTACATGGTTAGTAAATAGCTAGAGGGCAATGCCTTCATTTAGGACATAATAAATGATATCATATTGGCAAATTGTACTTTTCTTTTGAGGAATTTGTTGTGAATGAAATGCTTTGTTCAAAACTATTTCAGTTTTTGTGCTATCTGATTTTTTTAAACACGTAAAAATGTTGCTAGCTACTGGAAAAGGGAAAAATGTATTTAAAAGACAGAATCACTATCTACCAAAAACTTGGTACCATTCTGACCTCAGCAGAGAAGGAACATTGTTATCAAAATTTGAGCATATTCACAATTGCTTTAACTCAGTCAAGAAATAAAATGTTTCTCATGTTTAGCATGTTCATTTGTTTATCAGTTTTTTCTTCTTTCCCATCATTTAAAATGATCCAACAAGAGACCATGTTTTGAAATCATGTTTTTCAGCTCATCACCAAATTTAATTTTGTATCTTCTTTATTTGCTCTTTAAAGTAAAAATAGCAACTGTACCTTTAAATGATTCTCCCTGCATGTTGTTCTATTTAAATATTTTATGTATTTAAAAACAATATAACCACATTAATATTTATTTAGACATTTTTAGTAATCGTTTTCTTTTTCATATAATGAGAGATTACCATAGGCTAATTCAGTGAATGAAGCATTTCACATACAAATTTTTGCATTATCTGATAGGTTTTCATATGTAAATCACATACATCTGTTTATCTCTGGTGAATGGTGTCAAATATCCTCAGTGCAAAATGCACCTTATAACATTATGTTCCTAATGACTTTTCTTTTCCCAAAGAAAAATTGGTTATTTGTGCCAGATATTTAGAAATTGTCATTCATAAAGAGCTTTTTTGTTTGTGTTGGACTGCATCAGGGTAAAAAGGAAAATTAACTCTGAGGTGAATTACCATTATATTGCCATTACACAAACCTTAAGGGGTTTTATATTTAAGATTAGAAGATCTCAGGAATACATACATTTGAAACACAGAAGGTGGAATGTTTTGATAAAAAAAAATTCCACTACATTTAAAGGGTTTTATTAGACATCAGGCACTTAAATCACGTTTACAAACATGGAGAGACAAATGCTCAAACATCTGAAATAGTCTCTTTGCACTCTCAAGTCTTCTTTGAATTCACCATGTGGGTGAAATCAAAGCACAGAACAAACACTGTTTTGATATGGCTTTGAAGATGATAACAGCTTCTAACAGAGAAAAAGGCAGCTTTGGGTTCGCAGGAAAACGATGATTGACGTGACTCTCAGCCCAAGAAAGTTTACCTTTTAATGAGTGCGTGGTGAGAAGCTCTCATCCCATGTTTTATTTTTGAGGGAAGCTGCCTAACTAGAATAGATCTCAGACATCTACAGCTGCTATTCAGGATGTAACACACACTCTTTTAAGCTGCGACATCTTTTGATCCAAATGAGCACATGCAGGATCCAGATGTATACAGGAGAGTTTAAGGTGAACTAAGGATTAGAACTTTTTTCCCATGATACGTAAGCTTTTCTATCAATCTATGTAATGTGGTCCCCAGACACAAGAGCTTAATTAATACTCTAGTAATTATTAAAATAATGGTCACAAGAAGGCAGAGATTTAATTTTCTTATCTGTTGTTGTCTTTCTCTTTTCTTTATTATTTGTTTGACCTTGGAATCTTTGGTGTTGGTAATAGAAGTGTTAATCAGCATCCTTGCTGCCCATCTTCCCCGAGAAAATCTTAGTCATAAAGAACCTTCCTATTTTTTGCTAATCTTGTTTTGAAACTTCCAACTTTCTTATAGATTTGTTTTGTTTTTTTAATATTTTTGAAGTCTTGAGTTTAAATTATTTTATGTTGACTCAGATTTCTTGAACCTGGGAGACAGAGGCTGCAGTGAGCTGAAATTGTTCCACTGCACTCCAACTTGGGTGACAGAGTGAGAACCCATCTCAAAAAAAAAAAAAAAGGTGCTTTATATCATGCTTGTATCTTAGGAAGATACTAAGTTTAATTTCTGTTGAATAAAACAAAAAATTATGTCCACAAACACCAGAGGTTATTACAAATTTCAAATAGTTATAGGTCCCCAAATTATCTTTAGAAATAATGACACTGTAGATAAGCAGTTTCAACTAAATTTAGTGGCAGTGACTGGCTGGATGCCCTCTAATCCTGTTTCCTACTTTGGGACACACGAGAAGAGTACATTTCTCAGTTTCTCCTGCAATTGGGATTTCTGGCCAGTGGTATATGGGTGACAGTAAGATATGCTCCTTCCAGGCTTGGAAGAAAATTTCCTATGAGCCTTTTACGTCTTACAAACAGCGGTTCACAGGCCAAATCTGATGTGACCAGACATCTGTTTTTTAATTAAAATTTCCTTGGAACACAGCTATGCCTAGTTATTTACAATTATCTATGGCTGTTTTTCTGCTAAAATGGAAGGTTGAGTGGTTGCAACGGACACCTTATAGATAAAAAGCATAAAATGTTTACTATTTGACCCTTTATAGAAAAAAATTGCTGACTCTGAGTTAGAAAGAGGATCCAAGATTGACTATTGTCATTAGAAGAAAGGAGAGTCAGTGGTATTAAGGAAGACATTTCAGAAATTTATGACTTGGAACAAGAACAATATCCATGGAATGTCTATATACTTGAGTTGCTAAAGTGGTAGCTATATAGGATAAATTGACATAAAGAACAAAGGAATGAATGACTATACGTTTTCATATATGTAAATAATGGAATCTACCCTATCAAATTACACATGCACTCATATCATTTATTTTTTCAATTAATTTTCATTTGTTTCTGTTAACTTCTATTCCCACAATGCCTGTTAGCAGAAATTTCACAATCGTTTTCTTGAGGCCTCTCTACCACCTCAAGTTGAGCAAAGACCCTATCAGTTATTCATGGTAGAGGGAAAGAATTTTTTTCTCTTTTCTGATTGCCAGACTGAGAGAAGTAGAATCTATCTTCTTCCTTTTTTCTTTTTCTTTCTTTTTTTTTTTTTTTTTTTTGAGGCAGAGTCTCACTCTGTTGCCCAGGCTGGACTGCATTGGCGCTATCTTGCCTTGCCGCAACATCCACCTCCCAGGTTCAACTGAATCTTGTGCCTTAGCCTCCTCAATAACTAGGATTACAGGTGCCCGCCACCACACTCGGCTAATTTTTTTGTATTTTTAGTAGAGACAGGTTTTCTTCATGTTTGCCAGGCTGGTCTCGAACTCCTGGCCTCAAGTGATCTTCCTGGCTTTGCCTCCCAAAGTGCTGGGATTACAGGTGTGAGCCACTGTTCCTAGCCCAAGAAGTAGAATCTTAATTGGTTCACCGCTGCTGTTATTTCTTGCAGCCACACAAGGGAGCTTTTGGAGATTCATTCTGCACACATCAATGGGTGGCATTTGTTAACACTGCTGGTATAACATTGTTTCACAATTTGGAACTCCCAATTATGATTTCAAGCTGAGCACCAAGGTTATATTAATAGTTCATTTTAGCTAACTCTTTTTTTAAGTTCTAACATTGTTACCCGTGGGCCAGTAATCTGGAAGAGCTTCTAGCATTAGCCATAAACAGGGCCAAAATCAGTTCCAACCAACAAACTCTTAGGATATTAAGGGTAAATAACTTGTCTAGATTTTTCTTCTCATCAACAAAACTTTTATTTGAGACTTGCAATTTCTTGCTTGGTCCCTGGACAAGAATGTCTCGAGAGTTACTATGCAAATAGATTCAGTCTCTATCTAACTCTGAGCTCTGCATAGGGGTGTTTCTTGCTAAATCACATGAGAAAAAAAAAAAAAAGTTTTGTTATATCCTAATCTCAGGACAATGAGTTTTTACTTGCCCCATATTTGCATAACTAAAAGGGCCACACAAATGACTGAGGGCAGCACAAAGAAGATCCATATCATGATGAACTTTCACTTCTGCAAATTCAAACAGCAGCTGCCAGCCTGGCTGGGTGTTATAGAAACAAAACCATCATAAATAACAATTCCAACAGTGAAAAGTATATACCTTTCAGCATTGGTGTATGTTTGTAAACATGTGTGTTTCTGTATATGTGTTTATGTGTATGAACCTGTGCATATGTGTCCACATATATATGTACAAAATTACATATAGTTATATTTGGATACAGATATATATATTTGATATTAATCACTTTAAATATATGTATACATATGTACATATATACACATATATACACTTATATACATATACACATATATACACATATTTACATATATGTATACATATATACACATATATACATATATGTATACATATATACACATATATATGTATACATATATACACATATATACACTTATATACATATACACATATATACACATATATACATATATGTATACATATATACACATATATACACTTATATACATATACACATATATACACTTATATACATATACACATATATACACTTATATACATATACACATATATACACTTATATACATATATGTATACATATATACACATATATACATATATGTATACACATATATACATATATGTATACACATGTACACATGTATACATATATGTATACACATGTACACATGTATACATATATGTATACACATGTACACATGTATACATATATGTATACATATATACACATATATACATATATGTATACATATATACACATATATACATATATGTATACATATATACACATATATACATATATGTATACATATATACACATATATACATATATGTATACATATATACACATATATACATATATGTATACATATATACACATATATACATATATGTATACATATATACACATATATACATATATGTATACATATATACACATATATACATATATGTATACATATATATATAACCAATTTATCAAAGTAACTCAAATAGTACTTAAAAGTTTATGTTGAAAAAAGAACATTATTTGCCCCACCTCTCTCTAATTTTCAGCTCTGCTCATTTGGCTCTTAATTATAAACTTCACTTCTATATTATTAAATAATGAATGTACAACTTGTCAAATTAAAAATAACTAATCAAATTTACCTTTTGATAGTTGCACTATTTTCCTTTATTATTTTTTCAATTGAATTAACTTGGGGTTAAAGCAAGTCAACATTTGCATTTTCTGGCAATGTATGTTGTACGTTTCTAAGTGAAGAATAATACTCTTTCAGAATTACTTTGTTTTTGTTGGATTAATAATGGCATTGTTTTTGATTTTGTTATTGGTAGAAAGTGTCCAGGTTCTTGGCGTCCTGAACAAAGAATTGGACAAAATGCACAAACAAAGCAAGGAAGGAATGAAGGGTTTCAATGAAAATGAAAGTAGACTCCACAGTGTGGGAGCAGGCCTGAGCAAATGGGCTCAAAGGCACCATTCAAGAATTTTGGGGAGTTTAAATACCCCCTAGAGGATTCCATTCATTACTTTGGGTACATCCTATGTAAATGGAGAAGACGAAGTAAAGTTACAAATTCATTTATGGCGTACACCCTATGGAGAGGATATTTTCTGTTATAGCTAAAGTGTGAATTGGCCTTACGTTCCCTGCTTCCAGACCCTATTTTCCTGCCTCGTCTCTCCCCCGAGAGATGTGATCCCCATAAATCTTTCTGGGAGACAGATGGACTGATGGTCTTTTTTCTGTAACTGCTTCTTGCTAGCTTGGGGCATAGTCCCTAACTACTGGGGATCACGGAACTCACTCTGCTCTGTCTAGTGGAGGTGGGGTAGCTTCTTTACTGCTGGAGGTGGTGTCTTCACCTGCAACTGGCTGGAACCTTTGTTGCATGATCATCTGAAGCTTGATGGTCTCTAGGCGAAAGGAAGTGAGTTTGGTTAAAAGATTTAATGGGGATTTCAGTGGGTGGATACCTATGCTGTCATAAATGTTTGTTACAGAGATTTGCAGGAGAAAAAACAAAACCTGATTTGTTCTAGAATCTATGTGTTTCCTTAAAGTCTTAGCACAAGTGACTCTATTTTGGTTTGGCTTGGTTTGTTGGGGCCTAGTGCATGAGCTTAGTCCAAAACAATGGCCTCCCAGAATTTTGTTTAAAAAATCTGGCTTTTTGGTCAGGTTCTCACTTAGGTGAGAGTGTGACCAAAACTTAGGGCCTTAGCACCACTAACAGTTATCATCATCATTTTTGGTGTCTGGCCTCAGCGCCTCATGTATAGGTTACAGAGTCCTCATGGTTGCACATTTCTTTCAGCTCCTGTTCTTCCAGTTGAAGAGAGACCTATGACATTCTAGAGATGGCTGCATGCAAGCATTTAAAACATTTGAGATAATACAGTGCACCAGGTAGACTATTGTTTTGACTATTGGGAGAATAATACCAAGAGTTTGGAGTATGCTCCTTACACCCCATAAACTAAACCTCCTAGAATCAAATAGAACAAAGAATGAGCTAGATAGAGTTTACTCATTTAACTAAGCAGTCTCCTTGTTAATCCCCTACAACGGAATTTCTATAATCTTCATTTGATGTATTTCTCCATAGGCCACAAGTGCCAGCAGCTGCACAGTTACTTCTCTGTTCAGCCAATTCTATTATTTATCATAACTTTCACAAGAGAATTTAAAGTCTGTTGTGTAATTATATTGTAACTTTGCAATATAATTTGCTATAGAGCCTATCATAAGGGATACATTTCTAATCATTGCTTAATTTTAAACCATGGAAAATGGACCTAACAAATGACGCCCTTTTAGAAGAGTGAAGGCCTTTTGGCAATGTTCTCTTTAATCCATGATGTGGATTAAGGGAAGTAAACCAATGCTTTGTTTTTGACTGATTATGAGGCAACATGTGTACCATTAAAGTTTCTTACCTGCGTTGGGCCTTCATCTTTTATATCAAAGTATAAGATTAGCTATATATAAGGCCAGCTGCAAACTCCTTAATAAATAAAAGTATACCCCATTAGTGCACATAGCAGACCCCTTTTCCACTTCTAATGTTCTTAGAGGCATAAGCAAGAAACAATATTCAAAGGTAAGAGTTTCATGAAAATAGAAGTCTTAATTTGTGAACTTGGGAAACGCTGTTCATTTCAAGAATGCCATTCTCTTCTTGGGGGAAATTTCCCTGGTTAGTTTTACCTTAAGGTTTCCAATGGGTGCACAGCTCCAAGGGCATGGAGGGACCTTTCTCAGTTGTGAGATTATGAACTCAAATTTCAAGGTCCTGAAGTTTTGTTGTAGTGCGGATGGCAAGGACAGTCTTTCTCTGATGTTTCCACAAGATTCAAACCATAAGCTTTTTTTTTGTTTTGTTTTTAACCTGGTGAAAATACACTGTAGCATAATAATCTACTCTTATCACATCAGCCCTCTTGCATGGGAAAGCTTTTATACAACCAGAAAACATGCATTGAAAGTGACAATTACATGAAATCCCTTTATAAAATGTTTAAATGGTGGAGCTATTGACCAAATATGTCTGAAGCTTTAATTGTTTTCCCAAGAATATGAGATCAAGCATTGGATATAAACTATTTTAAACAATTTCAGTATTACCTGGTTTAGCATGAAAGTATTTTCTTGATATTTAATTAACTTTTGTTTTACTTGGGTTAGTAGCTTTATACAAGAAAATTTGGTTATTTCTGTGGTTTAGAATATAACCATGTTAAATGGTTAAAATGGTTAGCATGATAACCATGTTAAATGTTAAAAATAATTGATGGCTCATTACTCAGACATTAGAATTTTAGAAATCCTATACAATTTTGGAACATATATTAGTATTACTTACAAAAATATAACCTAAAGAAGATTGAACATCATTTTGGTAATCCTATTTAACTAAACAAGTCAAATAATTGTTTAACTCTTTTCTGGATGTTTTCAGGGGCCCTCTGACCCATCCAGAAAGCCAGACATTAGGAAAAATAATTTTGAAACTGAAGTTTGGTTTTGGAATTCCAGATTACCATATTAATTACTTTGCCAAAATAGTGACTGAGAAATTTTAAAGAAATAAAAAGCTTTTATAACCTTTTATAAAAACAACAACAACAACAACAACAAAAACACATTCTATGGTTTTTACATACCTTGCTTGTAAAACTGTTTCTAGGAGTCTTAACTGCATGATACAATGGTGACTCTTAGCAATTTAACTTTAATGTAAAACCTAGTAAGTTATGTTCCCATAAGGTTTGACTATTCCAGCATAGCTAGAGGCATGGCTAACTCCACATGTCCCCAGCCCTTACCTAGCTGAAAAGCAGGCAAGTTAAACAATTTTCTAAAGCCAAAGAAGCAGTTTATGTCCGTAAAGCATTTAGCAAAGCTAATATTTGAACATAACTTAGATCACATGTTTACATTTTGAAGACAATTGTATTTTATCAATAATATTTAAAACCATCTTTATTTCCCAAAGATTACTCAAGTCACATGAACTAAATAAAAAGCATTAAGTTTTTCACTTTTCTGACAAAATATTTGATTTAAACTCTTATTATTATTAAAGCAATTACTTTAAAACTTTACAGAGGAGATTAACAGTTTGCACAGAGAGAAAGAGGCCAGAGATTGACTGGTAAGAAATTCTTACCCTTTTGCCGGCATGTCAGGTTTCTGGGTTCTCTCTCCCTGAGCAGCTGTGGTAACTCTACTTGACTGTATGCAAACAGACACTTTGCCATTAATTCAGAATATTCATAGAAGGTTTATAAATTTTGGAGAAAACTAGGCAGAGAGACAAATATGACTCGAAATTTATTTGTAAGAGTATACTCAACACACTTAAAGTATCTGGAAGCCTAAAATCCAAAAAGTTAGTTTAAGGATAAAAAAACTAGTGTGTTCCATTAATTCTGCAGCCTGACAAGGGTAGCTTAGGAATTCCAAATAAATGGAATGAATGATGACTTGCTAGAAATGCACAGGAAACAAAATAACTATTCACAGAACCAAATAAAAGCCTCCCACTAGAAACTAAAAAGCATCATGGTTTCAAATATATGGATAAACAAGCAAAGCTAGAGGAGAATAAACAGCAAACAAATGAAAATTAGAAGCAGGAACAAATGAACAAAAAACCAACCCTAAATTTTCCTACTCAATTTACCCTGGAGGCTACAGTGTTACCTAGGGCCCTAGAAAACCCACATACTGAATATTTTATTCCTGATACACAATTCAATATCCTTAAGTTGACCAATATCATTATACATTCTGTGCAATCAAGAAATCCACTTTAGACACATGACCAATAAGTACTCCAGTACTATCCATGCATAACAGTAAACACCATGTGAAACAATGCAAGCATTGTATGTGAAATTTGGTTCCACACTAAATTCAGCTTCATGTTTAACTATATTTTAAAAAGAATTGCCAAACTCCCAAAGCATTTTTACAATACTTTTTACTTTAATCAAGACTAAGAGGTTTAACTATGAAAATGTTAATTAGCCAAATGTTTTCAATTCTCTATCAGGTTTTAAAGAATATTTTATTATTAAGCTTTTCCACATCTTTCTCCCCTACTTAATGGTTCCTTACTACATTGTTGCATAAATAACCTTTTCAAATCTGTAATTTGAACTAACTTTTAGACAACTTCTGAATTAGACAAAATTTTTCTTTTTTTTTTTCACCAGTAACATAACCCTTTGTGGAACATTTTGTATACAGAATTACATGTTACCTAGAAACCTAGAACTTTAGTAAAACCCTAAAAAGCAAGAAATACTGAACTATCAGATATGGGCATTTATAGATAAGAACAATTTCACAATTTTAGAAACACACTTCCCTGTATTACAACCCTTGCTTAATTGGAAATGACAACTTACACAAAAAGTTTACCCAGAACAATTGTCCTATTCATTGTACTTAATTTTTTACTTTTTTTTTTTTTTTTTTTGAGACAGAGTCTCACTCTGTTGTTCAGGATGGAGTGCAGTGGCGTGATCTCAGCTCACTGCAACATCTGCCTCCTGGGTTCAAGTGATTCTCCTACCTCAGCCTCCCAAGTAGCTGGGATTACTTATAAGCGCCCAACACCATGTTCAGCTAATTTGCTTTTTGTATTTTTAGTAGAGACGGAGTTTCACCTTGTTGGCTGGTCACAAACTCCTGAACTCAAGTGATCTGCCGGCCTCAGCCTCCCAAAGTGCTGGGATTAAGGTGTGAGCCACCGTGCCCAGCCAATTTTTTAACAAGGGAAACTTGAGACATCAATCAACATATATAAAATGAACATTGGTTTGGTCCAGAAACAAGGGAAAACTCCAGGCCAGGAGGCTTTGGGGGCTTTCAGATCACAGGTGGGACACCTTCTTTTGAGTTTGCCTTCTTTTGAGTTTCTGATTAGCCTTTCTAAAGGAAGCAATCAGATACGCATATATCTCAGTGAGACTTTGGATAGAATGGGGGGCAGGCTAGCCCCAAGCAGCTCCCAGCTTGAATTAACACTGACATTTAAAAATATCTAGCAAAAACAAACATAAAATTTAGAAAAAATGCATGCTTACAATTCTGAAGGCATTTCTATTTTTATTCTACCAATAATTTTAAAGGTAGCTTGTTTAGTGGTTATACTTTAAGTCATGTGAACTTGAAAATTGCTTAGACTTATTTACTTAATTTATGAGTTCTCTTTTACTTATAAGCCAATTTGGTAGATACAACATATAACAATAAGTGTACATACAAATAAACACATCTAGACATGTACAATCACACATAAATGAAGATCCAATAGCTTGGAACGTTAGCCATGAGATAGCAATACAAGCTTGCCGGCTTTGCTTTGTGCCAGTAGACAATCCAGTGAAAGCTGAGAACCAAAATTTCTGGTAAAGCAGTCTCCATGGCAGTTTGATTTTTAAAGGCCAAACCTCCCCAGACTCTAAAGAGACCTGGGGCCAAACAGTACCAAAGGAGGACATCACATGTCAACCAGGCCCCCTGCTTAGAAATGCAGCATGAAAGCCTGGGTACATGCAAAGCCAGTCCACTTTCCCATTCAAGAGTGAACTCCAGATTTCAAACAATGTTGGGGCCAAGCAGCATTGCAACTGCAATATAAAATTCTAAGGAGAGCTTAATATTAGACCTCAGAAACTCTGCCAAGAGCATCCTCTTTGGAGTGGTTGGGGTCCACAGAACCCACAGAGCATCCTCTTGTGGGGTTCAATCTTAGAGTTCCAGATGTCTCTGGCTTTAGGTGGGCACCACATGCAGGGTTTTCCCTCCAGAACATACTATGAGCTTTATAAGAACAGCCATGAACTGTAATGTGAACTGGATGCCAGGTTGGCCTTTTATACCTTAGCCAGTTGAGTACAATAAGGGAAGAATTTAGCATATGAAAAGAAGGTTTAAGTTGCCTGAAACATGTGAGAGTTTGCTCTGAGTTGCACCACACTTAAGGATCAGGGACCTTGTGCAAGTAGAAAAGATTGAAAAAAAAAAGACCCTTCTCCCTTTGGGGGGGCAATTATTCCATTTCATTCCTAAACCTTCAGGCAGTACCAGGAAGTGACCCCAGCCAATTGCCCTCAGTTTCCAAGGAGCTACTAATAAACGGCTGCTGAAAGACTGAAAAAGAAATAGAAGAAAATAAAAATGAAAAACACCCTGGTCCCTTAAGTGAACTGGGTGGTGGTGGTCAGGCTTGTCCACATGGAAACACCTTACTTTCACTGGCCATGGCCAGAAACCTGCAGTTGCTTCCATGTTTAGGTGCTGCCCACCAAGCGTCCTGCTGGAAGTAAAGCTCAGAGTCACAAAGAAAACAAGCACTTAAACAAAGGATTTCTCAGCAAGGCAAATTTACTTCTGCAGAAGGGTGCATCTCACAGGTCTGGTCGCCATGATAGCATCCCAAACAAAGGAGGGAAGGGATTTTTATCCCTAATGTGGCTTGTCCCTGCTACTGTGTCCTGCCTCCACTGGTTGGAGTTGGACTGCACAATCTAAGCTGAACCCAGTTGGCTAACTTGAAAAGTGCAGGAATGTGGTTACACTGGCAGGAAGGACAGGTTTGGCGGGAAGAGGTGTTGTGAAGGGAGGGGTAATTTACAGAGTGAGTAGCAGATATGGGCTCTGTAGATAAAGACCAGAGGGGGAGAGTTGTTTACTGAAACCAAGACAGGGAGGCACAGAGAGCAAGGAAGTTTGGCCTTGAAAGTAGAGAAAAAAGAACAAGGAAACTAAACTAGCTAAACCTTTGAAGAAGAACTTCTTACTGTATTTAACAGGTCCCAAGTTGGAAAGGAAAAGAGAGAGATAGAGCCACTGTATGGAGCAGAAAGGGAGAAAAATAAATCCCAAATTTTGGGCTTACCTCTTCCTCCTGGCTGGCTCACCAAAATATGTCACTGGTAGAAGGTGTCCATGTTCTTGGCATCTTGAAGAACAGGACAAAATGCACAAACAAAACAAGGAAGGAACAAAGGGTTTTATTGAAAATGAAAGTACACTCCACAGTTTGAGAGTGGGCCTGAGCATAGGTGATCAAAGGCCCTGTTTCAGATTTTTTGGGAGTTTAGATACCCGCTGGAGGATTCCATTTGTTTCTTGGGTATGCCTTATGTAAATGGAGAGGATGAAGTAAAGTTATAAAGTCATTTATGGCAAACATCCTATGGAGAGGATATTTCCTGCTATAGCTGAAGTATGAATTGGCCTTATGTTCCCTGCCTCCAGACCCTATTTTTCTACCTCAATTTTACTTAATGTTCTAAATATTTTACTATTTTAAAAAAATGCTCCAGCAGATTTTTCAATGACCACAAATACTTTTTGAAAGCTCAATTTGATATCGATATTGATATTGATATTAGCTAATCTATCAGTTATGTTTTTCCCGCTTCATAGTCTCCCACTTGCTTTGACATCTAATCTGGCCTGGTTGAATTTTAGATGCAGACCATCGCTGTCATCTTCATACTGCCTTTTTCTTGCTCTATGTTGGCTCCTCTGTTTCTTGAATCTGATGTCTTTCCCTTGGTTTACTTTTCATTTTCAAAAGAAGATTCTCCAATACTTGCCAAGAAAAAGAGGACCTTGTTTTTTTTTTAAAAGTAAGCCTCAATTCTATTCTTACATTTGTTTGACAACCAAATATAAAATTCTGAGTTACATTTCTTTCATAATTTTAAAGGAATTTCTTCACAGTAAACTATCAATAAGGTTACTTTTGAAAAGTCTGATGCAATTTGTATTCCATTTTTATTTCTACTTCTCTCTGCCTGTGTCTTCTGGCATTCATTCTCTCTCTCTCTCTCTCTCTCTCTCTGTGTTGTGTTTGTTGCCTTCTCTTTTTATCTTCCCCTTCCTTTCTCCCCAAACATGCCCCATTTCTGGATGTTTTCAGTACATCCTCTCAGTTTTTATTATTGAAACTTTCAAACATGTAGAAAAAACAGTATGAAGGACCTTCATATCCCTTACATACATATCCCCCAGCTCCAAGAATCAATACACACCAATCTTACTTCATCCTTCCATATCTCCTTCACTACTACATACTCAGCATTCACACTAAATTTTCCTTGAGAAAATACTCAACTTTATATCATTTCATGAATTAGTATGCATCTCTAAAATAAAAGGACTCTTTTCTTCCTTTTTTTCTGTAAAGAAGGTGTAAAAAGAAGCCTAAGGATCCAACAATTTAGTGTTTGAAACATTAAGATAATTCCTTTAAAAAGATCAGAATTTGTTTCTCTTTAATGTAAATTAAATCTACAGGTAGACAGTCCAGGCCACATTTGGTAATTCACAAAACATCAGAGACCTAAGTCCCTGTCAGTGTCCTGGCCTGTCCTTTCAGCCCACTCTAGAGATTCACACAATTCCTGTAAAAACTGACTGCTTCCTATATGCCTCCCAGCCTGAAGGCATTCTGAGGACCTTCCCTCTAAGTCATTGGTTTATATCCATATGGCACAGAATGACTACTGAAAGAAGTCCTAAATTCATGCTGTGTTCCAAGTACAACCATGGAGAAAGGAGACAGAAGATTGTAACATCTTTCTTTTGAAGAAACAGAAATACAACAAACATTTCTACCACACTTGTATTGACTAAACATAGTGAGAAGATCAGAACTAACTAGAAGAGAAGCAAGAAAATGTAGATAGATGCTAGTTAGATGGTGATGAATACATGCATGTGTACCTACATATGAATATAGACATATGGGCACAAACACACACATAATATTTGTATATTTAATACCTATATACTTCAATGGCCAAACTTCCATAAATTGGAAGTACACAAAATGGATTTGTATATATTTTTTAAAATTATATTTTTAAAGTGTCTTAGTCATTTTCTGTTGCTTATAACAGAATACCTGGAAAAGAGTTATTTACACATAAAAGCCATTTATTTCTTACAGTTATGGAGACTGAGAAGTTCAACATCAGGAGGTCACATCTGGTGAAAGTCTTCTTGCTGGTCGGGACTCTGCAGAATAGCCAGGTAGCACAGAGTATCACATGACGAGAGGCTTGAGCATGGAAGCTCAGGTCTCTGTTCCTCTTCTTATAAAACTTCCAGTCCCAATCCCATGATAACTCACTAATCCATTAACCAATTAATCCATCAATCTATTAATCTATGAATGAATTAATTCACTCTTGAGGGCAGAACCCTCATGACTCAATCACCTCTTAAAAGGCCTCACTTCTCAATACTGCCACATTGGGGGTTAAATTTCACATGAGTTTTGGAGGGGACAGATATTAAACCATAGCATAAAGTATTTAATAAAACTCAAAATGTTAAGGCTATAAACTTAACCTGAGAGAAGTGATTTCCTGTGTGTCTTTCCTTTCACAAAGTTATTGCAACACCAGATGCATAGTTGTAAAATGCTTCAAGCCTGGAGGTTGTCAATCAAATCAACTCTTCCTTTGCCTACATACTCACTCACTATTTATACCAACTGTGTCAATCACCTATTGCAATAATAAAGTTACTGGAATGCTTATGTTGGTATTTTGCATGTACAAGATTATATACTTATTTTCTTCATGGGATATCTTGATACTGCCTTCAATATGTGAAAAATGTCAATCAGCATTGATAAAATTTCAGTGTCTTTGCTCAAGCTTTTTGGATTCTGACTCAAACATTTGAGGATCCTCAATTTTAGGGTACTTTATTGGAGAAGACACAAGGGAAGATACTTGGCCCATATTTCTCTTTCTAATTTGACATTTTAGTCCCAGAGCCTCAAATAGACTAAAACATAACTTAAAATTATTTATAATCACTTGGGAATGCTTAGTAACAAAGGCAGTGTACAGCACTTGGAAATAGGGTGATTTCTTTAAAGCTAAGTTAACATCTGTCTTTCGAAATAAAAAAAAGAGAAGGAGATAGCTGCAATGCAATTTCAGAAATAGCAGAAATCAATGCCTAATTGTTGCAGCCCACACGCAGATAACAATTGCCACTGAAAGCCTAATCTTCTTGTGTTTAAGACATTTCAAACATTGCTTTTTTTTTTCCTAATG
Source organism: Homo sapiens (assembly GCF_000001405.40). Taxonomy (NCBI): domain Eukaryota; kingdom Metazoa; phylum Chordata; class Mammalia; order Primates; family Hominidae; genus Homo; species Homo sapiens. The sequence goes on along the minus strand of NC_000002.12, from coordinate 155,401,141 downwards.
TTTTCCTGAATAAACATTGGAAAGAGGCCCTGCTCAAATTAAAACAAATTCTCTCTATGTCCATTATTTTTCTTTTCATTTCATCAGTGTTAGTTTTTCACAGGTTGACTACAGCTCTCATACCTAATGGTGGGTTATAATGCTTGAAAAAAATAATGTAAGCCAAAGTGATAAAAATCATGTTGATTTATATTACAAATAAATAACACTAGGGGCTGAGGTCCAAATTTTAACACTTAAAAACATATTTTATCAGCTATAAATTGCATAACAATTTAGCATGAAGCAGCTTTCTAAATTTAAACTGAATATGTAAAAGTATATATAACTTCAATAAGGTAATAAGTTAAATGCTATACATTTGCTTTTAAATCATGACACAACAGTTTATTGTTTATACTTACTGTGTTCTTTATAATTCCTGTCTTATCTTCGTAATGCTGACTAACCTGAGAAAGCCTGGTTGCTTTTTCTTATACTTCAAGTACAATTCAGATAAGATATAAGGACATTTATTGCTCTTCTGAAAATTAGTTCAGTTTTGCATATCTTGTGGTCTCTTTCCTTCATTGCTAATTTCAACAATTCTGTAGATGTTAGTACTCAAGTTATTTTTTTATGCTGCTGCCTTCTGAAAAGATCCTTTTTCTTTCATGAGTTCAGTTATACCCATATCTTCAATTAATGTTACTCATAGAACAAAAATACATCACCATTGACATATAAGTACAATGATAATTGATTTCCCATAATATTAACATTTTCTTCACTACTAGGGAATTGTTTTTGTAGGAGCTAAGTCATTTAGATCCAGAAGGGAGGCCCTAAAATCATTCTGTTTAACAGATGAAATGATAAAATGCTTTCTAGGCCATTAGAATTAGACAATGGTAAATTACTTGGTTGATTCACAAAGTAACTTTCAAGTTTCCCAGGAACATAGGTTACATAGCCAAATAAGCTAAGGAAACCACTATATCCTAAATCCCTGAAGCATCCTCTCCATTTCAAAGTACATTAGCATAATCAAAAACTCTAAAACATGTAGTAGTACTTTTAAAACCTAATTTTTCCCTCTTTTATAACTACCTCTATGACTCTATATTGGGAAAGTATAGAATGCGAAAATATAGCTCAGCTGCTCTGGAGATTTCTAATGTTTTACAAATGCCCAACGCAAATTAATACTCTATAATAGTTTTAATTTTTACAGCAGTGTTCTAATAATATCTTATATTTTGTTGCTTGGCATCCATTACAATGTAGTATACCAATTCCATTACAAATGTATAGTTAAATTGAATTTAAGCACAATTTTCTATCTTTGCTGATATAAAATTAGTAACTTTATATTCACTAACAACCCTAGTGCTTTTAAAATATGAAATGCTTTTCCATTATCCTTTCAACAAAAAAAGATATTTCACCAGCCAGGCCTGGTGGCTCAGGCCTGTAATCCTTGCACTTTGAGAGGCCAAGGCAGGAGTATTGTTTTGGGCCAGGAGTTCAAGACTCACCTGGGCATTATATCAAGACCCGATCTCTACAAATAATAAAAAAGTTAGCTGGGCATGGTAGCACATGCCTGTGGGCCCGGGTAGTAGGGAGCCTGAAGTGGGAAGATTGGTTGAACTTAGTCAGTGGAGGCTACAGTGAGCCTTGATCACGCCACTGCACTCCAGCCTGGGTGACAGAATGAGACCTTGTCTCAAAAAAAAAATCTATATATATTTATATCAATATATATCAATATAGATATAGATATCAGCAATCATATAGTTTTCTAATTATAAAATGCAAAGAAAAGCATAATAATATACTCAGAAATAGAGGAGCTAAATAAAATTTAAATTAATGAAATGTAATGGGATGGGGATAATGATCAGGAGTAGAAGGAGGGACATGCATCTTTTACATTGAAGGACTTCAGAACATGTGAGTGACACATTGTTATATTACAAAGGAAAAAACAAGATAGGTAGAAAAAGAAAGAAAGGAGAGAGAGAGAAGGGAAAGGTAATGCTACAATTTCTCACTTACTTAAAAAAAAAAAAAGAGTTTCATTTTGGTCTGTTTTCTGTGTCAGCATCCTAGCATAATAAGGAAGTATCCTTATTTATCTGCTAAATAATGAATGTGAAAAATCATATATTTTTCTTAAAATTTCACTAGAAATTCAAAGGTTACTTCTTACCTGTCTGGTAAGACTAATAATATACCCACCCATTTCTTTGAATTATGCCCAGATACTAGGGGAATAGACCTTGTAAATAGCATAGATATTCTGGGATTTTTTTTAGTTAAGCTAAAATAACTCTCTTGATTTTTCTTACTTGTGTGTCCAATTCATTAGCTTAGATTAAGAAGCTCAGTGTTTGAAGGATATGGAAACATGATTCCCTTACATGTCTGCTATCTTCTGAATCTTAACTGTATGTGCATATAGTCATTTTGCAAAATTTCTCATTTGGTGTCCTTTACATAAAGACTTTGGATTAATTCAAGAAACAGACAGTATGATGTATATAAAAATGTGAACAATAGCCAATAATTTTTAACAGTGTAATTATTAAGGCCTTTAAATATATGTTCAAAACACGGCTGTTTATTAAGTGCATACTGCTAGACTGCATAAGAAATTTAGTTTTAAAAAATTATGGGTTAAAGGGTATGCATACTATCAATAAATAGATTTGTTTGCTAAATATATGACCTATACTTATCTACTTAAATATAATTTGATTATGTTTAATAAAAACAAAATTAAGATTCTTCATACCAATTAGTATGCCTACAATTAAATTCATGTGACCCAATTCAATAACTTGCTTATAGTTCCCATTATTTGATCAACTGACTTCCATAACCTGGTAGAATTACCAGAAGATATCTTACATTGACAACATAAAGACAAACACATACACACACACACAGACACACACACACAACTCACATGGCAGTTTAAGTCAGAATTACTGCCAAGTTGCTAGTGACAGCAACAGTTGGTCAGTATTTAGTTTTAGAAATAGTCATAATGGGAATTATACAGGAAAAAGTGTTAATATCTTTATAATACAGATTTTAAAGATGGATTAAGAATTTTTAGAAATATCTTAGAAACAGCTTCCTTTTTAAGATAAAAATGTATAAATATTAGATAAAAAACAAATAAAAGACACAGAATCATCCTTTAAAGATTAGTTGCAAAATCGTAAACTGTACGTATGTGTAGGAAAGAATTTAATCTTGCACCAAATGAGATCTGGCCTTTGCCCTCAGTTCCTGATCAGTAATCTTGGTTTGCCTGGGGGCCTCAAGCTAGCCAAAAAATAACAGTATGACTTCAGATAGAAGCTTTGTGCCACATAGGATCAGTTGACCTGAGGACTGAGATCAACCATACGGGCAATCTATTAATGAATCATGCTTGTATAATGGACTTCCAATAAAAACTCCATGCACTGAGGTTCAGGTGAGCTTCCTTCTTGACAGTACTTTGTGTGCACTGTCATATACTGATGCTCAGAAAGTAATGTATTTTGATTTGTTGGGGAGAGGACAATGTATTTAGTATTTTCTGTACTCCACTCTATGCACCTCTTCTCTTGGCTGATTTAATCAGTATCTTTTCATGTAATAAACCACAACTATGACTATAATAGCTTTCAATGAGTTCGGAGAGTCCTTCTAGTGACTGACCAAAACAGGGTGGTTTGGGAAATTTCCAATCCTCCAATTGATGTTGGAAGAGAGAAGGATCTTGTGTGGATTTTTTTCTCTAACTATACAGTAGCCAGCACTCTCACAGTTAGTGTCAAAAGTGAGTGTGCAGTCTGTGAACGTTGTTCTCTTTAACTTTGTAGTCAGCAAAAGTGTTCACAGCATGTATCAATCTTTTGAAATGTGGTGTGTCTTTTTTTTTTTTTCTTGAGACGGAGTCTCCCTCTGTCACCCGGGCTTGAGTGCGGTGGTGAGATCTCGGCTCACTGCAACCTCTGCCTCCCAGGTTCAAGAGATTATCTTGCCTCAGCCTCCCGAGTAGCTGGGATTATTGGGGCCTGCCACCACATCTGGCTAATTTTTTTGTATTTTTAGTAGAGATGTGGTTTCACTATGTTGGCCAGGCTGGTCTCGAACTCCTGACCTCACGATCCACCCATCTCGGCCTCCCAAAGTGCTGGGATACAGGCGTGAGCCACCGCGCCTGGTTAATGTGTCATTTTTAAAAGCATAATCATGTAATTTAACATCAATGGAATTAATCCCTGATGAAAAACTGGTCCTTGCTGTAGCATAAATCCATAAAATAGTCATGGATAGTAAGAACCATAGATATGTCAACTTGCCGGGTGCAGTGACTACTTGCTTTGGCATGAGACAAGCTAGAGGCTGCTGCTTTTTGTCATTTGGGCTTAGGGTGTCAGCATACTCAGTGTCTTAACTAGAGGAAATAGACTCCCAGAGGACCTCGCTAATTAAACAGAATATTGTCAGTGTACATAATAGAAATTTTGCATGTTCCTAATCAGCAATTAGAGAGTTCCTGACAAATGTAAGGAAGAGATTGATCAAGTTCCAGAAGTGTAGACTGAACATATTCTGGCATAGGTATGTCCAGATAAGGAAAAATGTGTCATAAACATGATTCAAATGGGCAAGTCCGTCGTTGTCTCAGAAGCACAGAGCGGGACCTCTTTTGACTATCAAGATGGTAAGTATTCACCTTGTGTTCCATTTTATGCCTGAGTCATCACCTCAAGAGGACACAAATGTTCTCATTCTATTTCACTTGAAAATATATTTTAAAAAATTTAATGTTTTAGAAAAATATTTCAATTAATAACTCCAATGGCTTTAATCATGACCCTAATTTTGATTAAACTCTATGTGAAAGTGCATCTGACTACTGTAACCACCAAAATCTTCTTATCCCTCCACAGTAATGTAATGGGTGGGCTCAATTACTGTAGTCTACAAGGAAAGACTTCTATTCAATAAAATCTTCAATTTTTTTTTTCTAAATATACATGTACATACATAACATAGAAATTCTTACTACATAAAATATTTAATTAAAATTATTATTAATAACATTTTGTTTTCCTTCTGTAAACAACTTAGATGGGAATAACACACAAGAGAAAATGCCACTTCCCCCGTTGTTAGTACCTTATAGCTGCCTGTCTGTTGATAATTATAATTGGGAATTAGTTTTCTTTTTAATCCTACTTTAGAAGTAAGTAGACATATCATAGGGATAACTGGTATTTTAAAAAATATAATAGTGGGATAGGCCAGGCTAGGCTGCATTAATAAACAAACCAGGTTCTCAGTTAAGACACAAAAAGTTATTTCCCATTCAGGCTACATATTCAAAGAAGGTCAGGGCAGAGATTGTCATCAAGTATCCAATATGACAAAGTCTCCACCATCTTGAATGACACCATCTGGATCACTCACTACCCATCATAATAGTAAGTATTTTTTAAAAAGATTTGCTTATTATCAACCATAAATTGGACATATAAGATATAATAGAAAGGTAACTTTCAGAAAGTACTGAAAGTTAAATTGTAAGTCTGTATTACAGACTGCCCAGCTAAAGAAAAGGTTTAATTCAATTGGAGAGGGAACACGAAGTGCATATAAATGCTTTCTTTTAACCCTTTTTTAGTGATAGAAGTCTAAGATAAATTTTTATCAACTGCACTACAGAAAACCTATCCATTGCAAGACATGGAAGCTTAAAACAATAAACCATTCCCATAATAATATAATAATATGAACATTCAAGTCAAATTTAGGCATTTTAAAAAGTGGTATTTCGGAAACTGGCAGGAAAAACAAACAACAACAAAAAAAAAACAGATCACTGAGAATAGTACTAACGGGGATCCTCACCAAAGACAAAAGAGAAAACAGAGAACGCTGGCAGGTTGTAAACAAATATACAAAATCAAGCATGTATATAGGTGATTTCTGAATATTATAGGCCTACTGGTTTTCCCACTGTCTCCAAAATGTATCATTCTAAATCATGTTGTTGTAACTCCACATTGATTCATATGTTCCAATTATCAGCTTCAGGGTGGTAATAGAGGACCTAGGGAAAGTCTCACTCAAGGACTCTACTAGTTGGCCGGAAATTGCAGGAGTCTAGTAAACCTGAGTACTTTGATTATTCCTTCTGCTCTCTACATTCTTTGGTAGGGTTCACCTTGAATAGTGAGTGCAAAAGAGATTGTGGGATTATTTGACTAATATCTGTCTTTGCTGGACTGGGGGCATTGTGAGGGCAAAGCAATGTCTGGGTTGCTTACCACTTTATCTCCAATGTCTGCTGTGTATTGTGTTTAGAGTTACTGTTCAATAAATATTTTATGAGTGAATAATTGAAAAGTTAATGTTTACATGAAGTTTTCAGATTTAGAGAAAGTGAAAAAAGGGATATGTTCTAATTCAGGTGAATTTTATATCGTTTAAAAATATGTACTGGAAAATACTTTCAAATATACCCAGATTTGCTGAAAGGAGAAATAAAAAATTAAATACAAGAGATCATAATATTTAAACTTATAGATTATATGCTGTAATACCTGAAGAATATAAATATATGAAACATTCACTTTCAGATTTGTATTTTTCCCAAAGAAAAAGCCACATCAAGTATATTTTGTATATGTTTAATTAATGATGTGTTTGAACAGTTCCATTGGGGAGCAAATATAATATTTGGTAATATAATTGCCTGAAGCACAAAAATTTGAATTATTAAGATTGGTTATTTTATATAAGGTTCTTCAGATAGTTTCCGTTTACAATATTTTTCTTAGAAAGTTCTATCAGAAATGATTTTCTGCCCCTTGAAAGCTTACATCTTACTTATAACTCTCTCCGATACATGGAGGACTGGATAAACAAGAATAAGTGAAATACACATATCCCTAGTGTGATTTTAGCAATTAGCTTCGAACTCTTCCACACCAATTTTTATGGAAAATTCTTGCAAGTAATAATATCTACTGATTTAAGTTTTCACACCTTTTCCCTTCCCCTGCCAATCTCACTAACAAGCAAGGAGTAGAAATACTAACAAGGTGATAACTGTCCAAAAGGTGGACAGCAGGAAGAAGAAGAAGGGAGGCAAAAGCCTTGAATAATTGACAACCTAGATAATCAGCCCCCGCATAATTACAATCTTACTGTATTCTACATGTAATTTAGAAATGAGTCACATTATTATGGGTAGAGGTGGTTTAGGTATTAAACTGAATATTGGCATGTTAACAGTCGTAATACATTTGTGATTACAATAGTAATTTTTTCTTTATAATTTGAATATTTATTTTTTCTTCCAAAAGATTTAGTGCCCATTGGACTGTTGTATAAAAGTTAAGCTAAGGTAATCTATAATTCTTTCCTTGCATTTAACAAGAAGTACATGAAAGATATTTAACAATCTTGCTATTTTGGCAGAAACTCAAAACAAACATATGTAACAGTTTTCAAGAGAAATATCAAGCAGGCAGTGCCAAATCAAGGCATTATATTTAGTTTGCTGTAAATAATATGGTGTTTGCACATACTCCATTCTGAGACTGGTCCTGTGTACTTTCTAAAATTAGTAGAATACAGGACAACACCTTTCTTGGAAGCCAATCATAACTCATTTTCTGATTGAAAACTGTGTCCAAAGCAAATGTAGATAAAAAACCAATCCCTTCAAATTAGAGCTAACCAAAGACAGTGATACATAAGTAAAAGTATTTAAGTTATTGAGTAAAATTTATCCATGATATAAATATGTGAAAATTACAGTGCCTTAAAAATAGTCTGTTCCCATGCTTTTTGAAGACATTATCTGAGGTATATTTTTGGGGAACATTTCATACATAAAATGAAAGACCCATTGATTAACAGGAGAATCTGCTCAAACAGGAGCATGTGCATCAGAATTTCTTTTTTCCATCAGTGAAAATGGAATTTACCTAATGTTTGGTATTTTTTTACACATTAAGAAAGGCATACTCTTAGAGTTTGAAAGAGTCCATTTATGTGAAATTATCCTAATAATTTTGTGTGTGTTTTCATTGAATTTTCTCAAATTAATTCAGAGATTAAAGATTGGAAGTATACTGAGGGTCAGCTAAGAAAAGACAGTTAAAGAGAGAACTGAAAGTTGAATCATAAGGATCTATATTACAGCCTGCCCATCTGTATGAAAAAAATGTTAATTCAACTGGAGAGAGAACACAAAACTGACAACAGAAGAGAAATGATAAATATTTGAGGTAATGGATATGCTAATTACCCTGATTTGATCATTACACATTGTATATATGCATGAAAATATCACTCTATATCCCAAAAATAAGTACAATTATTACATGTCAACTAAAAATAAAAGGAAAAAAGAGTAGTGACAAAAGCCAATATTTAATGAGGATGGGAGACTTCTTCACTCGCTAGTAATCTTCTCGCTGAATGAAAGCAATGTAAATATTTTCCTAGTAATAGTACATCAGCTCCTCCTCCACTTCCTCACACTTTTTCTTTTCTAAATCCATTACCTCTCTTATGTGAAAGCACCTAGCAGAATACCTTTTATATGGCATATTCTCAGTAAATGCCAGTTGCCTTCTTTTCATCTTCTGCTCTGCTCAAAACACAACTGACATATTGTGTCAGTCTTTAAAAGGAAAGTTGACAACTGAGCACATTTAGAGGAAAGTTACCATAGTCGAAATTTGTCTTGTTAACCGCCCAGCATCTGGATTATCTTCCTAACATAACCAGATATTAAAGTAGAAATTTTGACCAAAATGATAAGACATCAAAGTGACATACTAAACATAAAGGGATAGTTTCCAAGATTACGTGTGAGAACTCGTTAGATGCCCGTAAGCTATGCAACTTTATTGAATATATTAAAGGGTCAGAGTTTGTAAAGAAGGTTTTTAAGAACTTCACATGTGTTTTGAGTTCTCCTTTTTCAAAGGGGAATATAAGAATAAGCCTAGTTACCATGTCAATCCTCAGGAAACAATTCAATGAGACTACTCAGATAGCCTAAATAGAATCTCTTATGTTATTAGAAGTGGCAGAATGAAGTGGTAATAAGTGTCAAAGACAAAAAAAAATGTTATCTAACTTGATTCTGATGGGCAAACCAAAAACAGGTAGCTGGATTTGGGTGGCCTACATTCTCAGAATTTTAAAGACAAAGTTTTGTATGTGCTTCCCATAGACTAGAAGTTGGCCACATGAGAAAGAACAGTCTTCCTAAACATTTCGTTAATGTGTTTTATGACCTCTACAGGGTTGGAAAGTAGAGATATGTGAGACAGGAAAGTTCTTGTTGGACTGATAATGATGTAAGTTTCCGTTGCCATAAAACCATGTGAAAGTCTTGTAAATATTAAAAACTGCACATAATTGTAGTTTAAAGAAGTTAAAGGCAAGCTCAAACATGTAAATGTTCAGATTATGGTACAGATTGAAACATCCAGAATTTCTATGACTATGTAAACAAATAAAAACTCTTTATTTCAATGGCAGGAATGAGATAGCCAATAACAAAATGCAAAGTTTGAGTCTATGTGTTGCTAACTTGCAATGCTAATTGAATTTAATATCTTGCCAGATTTCTTATGCTACAGAGTTTTGATTGGAACTTGAAATGGGATTTATCTGGGGATTAACCATTTTCATAATACTCTGAATTTCCACCTCCTGCCAAATTGGACACTCTTCTACTGACTGAGGCAGCATTTGATACTTGACTTGAAGATCTGGTCATGCTTTCACTTGTGAGAAGTTAAGTTCAAGGTGAAACTATTTGTTTAATTCCTGTACCATTTTTCTTTTTTCTTTTTATTTTCATAATTTTTTTTTTTTTTTAAAGACAGGGTCTCACTATATTCCCTCAGCTGGACTTCAACTCTTGGACTCAAGTGGTCCTCCTGCCTCATCTTCTCAAGTAGCTGGGACTATAGGAAAGTGCCATCACAAAGGCTACATTTCTCCATTTTTAAGAGACATATCCAGACCCAAATCCCAGCAACCTATAGAGGACAAATTATAATGTCAAATTCAGAAGAGAAGGATTACATACCAAAATAATTTCAGATTTGTTTAATTAACTAGAAAAAACATTGAAGACCATGTGTATGAATGAATGCTAGACCAAAAAGCTAAGAAAATAATTTTATAACATTATGAAATAAATATTAAATTACACTGTCCAGGCATTCTGTATGCAATAACCTAACTTAAATAGCTGAGAATGGTTCCAAATGTTTGGTCAATTTATTGAAACCTGGATTCAATAGTGATCAATAATAAATGAGATTGAAATAATAGAAATTCCTTAATAAGATGTAGAAGAAATAAAAGTTTTAAGGAAATTGAAATAATTGAATCAATTTCTCAATTTTAACCATACAAACACCCCCTACTAATGACAAGAGGCCCAGAAGACACATTTTTTTATATATTGTCCTTGAAAAACACACTAATTAGAGAAACTACATGAGGTTTGTTTAGTGGTTTTGTTTTTGAACACTTTACTGGATGCTCTCTGTAGGCTAGAAAGGGCTTCCTGATTTCAGTAGGTCTACCCCATTGAGTGTTCTCAATTCTAAGACTTGAATCAACTTAAATGGCAAGAGTACCTTAAATGAAGAGGCTGGGTAAAGGACACCAAAATAACATCACAGTTGTGTTCTATAACCTTTCCATTAGTATTCCTAAAAGGTATCTATCTATCTATTGCTTTTTATTAGGTAGCTTAGAATTGAAGAAGGAAAACACTCAGAATTTTGGCTTTGAGTTACTTCTGATTTCTGGGGAGCCAGACATTGACTGTGAAAGCCATATATCAAATTTCAGTGGTTAGCTGTTAATGGAGTTTTGCCCAGTGTTACTTATGGTAGGGCTGTCGGGTCTACAAACACATTCATGTTCATTTCTTTTAGAAATTTATGTATACTTGGAATATATAATCTTTGCAAATGGAAGAATTTCTACATTGGTTCCCTAACCCATGAAGTGATGTCTCTTATTGTTAAGAGTAATAATTAAAAATCACCAGATATTTGCTTTTCTAACAATATAGTAAATTTAAAAATAGATTTATAATCAATAGTAATGTTACTTTCCTCAGGTAGCATCAATTTTTCTGTTTCTGTGTACCTCATATAGTTTTTAAGGACCATTATCATCTTTATACGCCACAGAATATAACACTGTTTTACATTATTTTCACGATCATGTTTACAGAACCTGGAAAGAAAGAATTAATACATACTCTTAGATGCCTTATTTAGACATATATAGGCCAGCAGATAGGAGAAAAGACAGTAAAAATGCAGGGTTCCATAATATGGGATAATAAAAGCCAACCAAAGAAGAATTTGCTTCATTTTATCCCCCTAAGTTTTGAGACATAGGCAGTATGCTTCCTCTATGGTTTTGGAGACAATATGTATAACATCTCTATGGATGTTGTCAGTTATCAGGTAAAGTGAAAAGCTTCCATGAAAAACTCTTGCATATGCTTTAGCTGAATAAAATATAGCTTTACAGGTCAACTCCAAGGCAGCACATCTCTCTTTCATGCTGCCATCCAAATAGCTCTGCAGCCAATCTGTTATACTGAGATACTACTGGAGATAATGAGAACAACACCCTTCCTCCCTTCCTCCTCCCACATATTCACACAACTGCAGAGGAGGCATAGTCAGCTCCCAGTGTGGTCTCTATGGAGGCTCTCATGCTAAACCTGAGATAAGAGGTGGTTACCCCCACCTCTCTCCCTTGTATGATTGAGGAGAACAGGGGTACCTGCAGCATCAGCAATTCTTACGACTACTTTGGGATGTAGCATTTGTTGCAACTTGGTATGTGGGCAGAAACTTTGATGTTAACATCTTGTTGCATATATGTGAAGATTTTTAAAGCATTCCCGAAAATTTATTTAAAAACTTAAAGTAAATACATACCATTTAATAGACCCAGAATACCCCTGTACTAGATGATTCTTGTAAGATAGTAAATATTGTATTATATAATTCAGTAAAATTAGTAGAACTTTCAGAAGCATGCACATGCCTTAACAAAAATGTCTCTTTAAAAGAGTTTCCTATTACCTCTCCTAATCCCTTTTAAATTCATTCTCGAAAAAGCAATCAGCCATAGTATCAGGTCGCACACACAATCTCCCCTCAAGCCCCTGACTACAACCATTCATTGTTGTTGGAATAAAATCCAAGTTTTTTAACATAGGCTTACATGATGTGTCCCCAGCTCTGTCCCGTGTCCTGCTTCTCCTAAATAATTGTGCTCTGGCAAAATTAGTCTTTCTGTTCCTCTGACAAATAAAACCCTTTTTGATCCTTAAGATTTGGATCTATTATTTTCTTTGGAATGCTTTTATCAGCCCCATCAGTCCTTCCCCTTCTTTTGTTTGCTGTTTTATTGTCATCCTTTAGTTTTTTTGCTTAACTTTTGCTTCCAGGAAATCTCATTGAGAATGTTATCTCAGCATTCAGCATGCAATTTATTTATTTTATGGTACTTACTGCCATATATAATTATATAGGTATGTGCTTGTCTATTTAATTCATTATTTGTATACCCTACTAGACTTTAAACTCCTTAAGAGCAAAGACTACATAACTCGTACTCATCTCAGTGGCTGGCAGACAGTAAATGACTACTATATTTTACATCAAGAATTGAATGAACAAAATGTATGACAAACGCCAACTAACTGCTATTGGAAATTTTATTTAATCTCTTTGAGCTCCAGTTTTTCTTCAACTGTAAAATGTGTTTAAAACTATCTACTCTGATGGGTTGTTATGAGGGTTAAATAATATAATATGAAAAACCCTAGGATACTAGTAAGAATTGCAGTCCATCAATTCATCCCGTCATTTACACATAATTTCTTTTATTCATTTGTTTACTTGATCATTTATTCAATGAATGCTATTCAATTTTCTATGTTCCTTGCACTTTTCAAACATTGGCAATATAACAGTAAACAAGATAAAATTCTAAAGGTGAGAGACAGAAAATTAGCAAATAAGCAAGTAATATGTAGTATACCAGATAATGCTAAGTGTTATAAAGTAAAATAAAGCAGGATAACAGGATAGGGAGTTGGGTGCTTGCTGCTTTCAATAGTGTGATTAGCAAAGGGTTCTTAAAAAAAGGTAGCATTGAATCAGAGGCATAAAGAAAGTAAGATATCAAGGCATAGCATATCTTGGAGGAGTTTTGGGCCGAAAGGACAGTAAGTGAAATGCCCTGAGGTGGGAGGATGCTTCTCAAGGAACAGCAAGGAAGTCAGTGAGATGGGGGAGCAGTGACGGATGGAAGGAGTGGTTGGGGATGAGATCAGACATCAGTGGCTGACAGTGGGAGGGAAGATTACACAGGCTCTTTTAAGTCATGAGAAATATTTGAGGTTATTCTTTAAAAAATGACAAACTTTCGCAGAATTTTGAATAAATGTGTAACTTAACCTGGGATATATGTTAATGGTGTTATTCTAGTTCCTGTGTTAAGTATAGACTACCAGGTGCTAAGGGTGGAATAATCTAGGAGAGGAATAATTGGTGGTAGATAGAAAATTAAAACTGGTTGGATTTCAGATATATTTAAAAGAATTGCTAATAGAGTTGGATGTGTGATAAAGAGAAGAGTCAAGAATGGCTCAATCCTTCTTCTTGCTCAGTGGAAGAATGTCACTGCTACTTAATTTGGTGGAGAAGACTGGGGAAGGAACAGGTAGCAGTTGGGCATGGCCAAATTTAGTGCTCACTCTTGGAAAGCCTAGATATTTTAAAAATCTTGCTGTCACTGCACTGTATTGCCATTTGCGTTTTCCTATATTTTATGTGTCTCATCCATAATTATTTTTGCTAGATTGATCAGGCTACCTCAGTGATTTAACAGCTGCTCACTGCTATCAATTCAACAAATCTTCCTGAACTGGCTGATTGGATCCTTCTGAGGTGCTTTAGTACTGGGATGTGTTATACAATAACAGATAAAATAACTTTTGTAAAATTTTAGGAGGTTCACTTCTCTTCCCAGCTTCAATTTTTGACATGAGAAGTCTATTGTCATAAATACTGAAAGATTTCCAAACCAATGAAATGTGTAAGTAAGGATTGGGTTAATTTGCTAAACTGTCAGGAGTTTTAGGTTCAGCCGTCTTCTGGTTTTGTCTGAGCCTAGGTCAGCTCAATTACGTTTGTGTCCAATCACGTGCCAGGGTTATGTGTTTGATGCTTATTGCGGTTATTTTACTTTATTTTGATCAAGAAGCACAAACCAAAACCCTGACTCCAACCAACTGCCTTACAAATGCAAAGAGAACACTGCACCATCCTTCACCACAATCAGAGAAAAACCAAAACACACATACAAATTCTAGCTTAACATATGTCTTTACTTACCAAGAAAAGCACACATAAGTGGTTTGTTCCACCACCCTGTGACTCTGATCCTGGCAAGACTGTAAGAGCAGCTACCACTCAGTGAACTAACCCCTTCAGATATTGTGATTTCACTGTGATTTTAGACATTGTGACTCCAGGGGATCACAGGAATGGATGGAAAATGAAGGGATGTGGCCCAAATGATGGGGCTGGAAATATTTTCTGTGTAAATGACAAGAAATCTCATACAACAAGAACCAGTTTTTCCTTACATCAAGATATAACTTCTACAGTGCAATTTTGAGGTCGAAAATAAACCTTATATGTTTAATTTTAAGGTAAAGATTCTAAGAACATTTGACATAAGTTAGTAACCTCTTCAGAAATAAATAGGCTGGAGTGCAACACATATCATAACTTATTTTTTATTAATTGAAGTTAATGGAAAATTTTCTCGTTGTTTAGTGTGCTTGTATTTATTGTCAATAGTTATCTCCCCAATACTCATTTTCTATAAGAGCTCTGGCCAATTATCTATAATGTATTTTGGTGCCTTTGGAAATAGTAATTGATACTAATTATTTGACAGAACCACTAGAAAAACTATTTAATCATAGGGCTGCACATTCACATTGCAAAAATCTTTTGAATTCTTTACTCCACACCTTCTGCTAAATATATTTTAAGTTTATATTTTTACAGAAAAGGGTATTTGTGAAGTATTTTTTTCCTAATAAAATTTTAACTTGAATGATTTCTGTAATCTGTTGACTGGGCCTTTAAAAATTGATGTCCCAGGAGTCTGTGAAACTAAATCAGAAAAAAGGAAGCCTCACTGCCTTTTAGAATTCCAAAGGTCTGGCCCACAGCTCTATGAGGTCAGGAGGTGGGATTAACCTCTCACATTCTAGTAATGGTTTTAGAAGGACTCTCAAAATTCACATATGATTAAAAACATCCAACTGACTGGCATTCAAGAAGAATATGGAAAGTAAATTTCATTTGTTTAACAGCTCTATCTAATGGTACTATGCCAAGCCACCTCAGCCACAGCCATGGATTATAGATCCATATACCTGTCTGTCTGTCGTCTGTCATTTCTCGACCTTTCATAATGTGGCTATAGACGTTGTTTAAATTTTTGTTTCTCAAACTAGAAAAGTTCTTGATATCATCTTTTCTAATTTCCTCATTTTCTGGGGTGCTAACATACAGACAGACTGTGTGTCACATACTTACAAAATATATAGAATACTGTACTTAACTGTCTCAACAACACTAAGACTTATAATGATTATGTCAACTGAAATATCCACATTGTAAATTATGTGGAAGAAAAATATTTCACAGTTGGTTTTTATAAATTTATCAAAATAAATACCATTTTATCTTATTTGTACATTCCATTAAAAAGAAAATATCTTGGACTGTATGTTGAAGCTTTCCTCTGAGGGTCATATAGTGATACGTGATTAGAGTTATATTTATATTTTTCTTAAAAAGGTAAAATGTTCTTCTACAATTTGGCAAAAGGTTTATAGCATTGTAAAAAATACTGTATTTGGCTATCTCCAAAATTGCTTTTTGTGTTTTCAGATGGTAGATCCTGGGCGGGGGAGGCAAAACTAATTATAACATTAACTATACCTAGTATGAGTGTATGACTCAGCTAAGAAAAGTTATCTGTTTGAAGACTACACATCTTAACACATTAAAAAATGTGCTATAAAATGTATTAATTAGTCATTGTTTTACATGACCAGAGCTTTCCTCCCAGAGGGTGGATCATACAACGTTTACTCATGGTGATGAGGCCATCTGTTATCTCTTTCCATCAATACTATGAAAATGAATATGAATTATGACTGGTATAGAAAGTAATAGCTATTCTCATTTTCTCATAATTCAATATTGTTTTGTTCAGTCAGTGAGGACTTCACTGCCCTGCCCTGCCCTGGACTGCTGTGCCTTACTACCCAATGAGAACATTGATTTTTAACTAAGAGTGGGAGTAGGGGTGTGGTGAGGGCACCAAAAATCTCTGTTTAAAAATACTCATTTCTACTCTCTATCACCAGAGAATGTGATTTAGTACGCTTAGGAAAGTGTCTTGAATTCTATATTTTTGAAAAAATATTGATTTTGTTCCATGCCAAATTTAATAATGTTAGGGTATTTTAGAACAATATTGATAATGTTAGTTCACATTACTGAAGATAATATTAAAAATATATTGAAGATACATATATTATCCTTTTTCTACTGCCATTCAAGATATTATCCCAAACACTCTGTCCAGTGAATTAAGTAGTTAATACTTTAGCCCCCTTTGCTGCACCGAAGTGTTTATTTTCCCATCATAATTATATAGATATCACAACCCACAAATTATGATTTCCCATGTATGCTTAAATCATCATTGTAGTATAGTTTTTAGATTGATTCTATTAAAAACAGAAAAGTAGTAATTCAAATGAGTTTTGATACAGGAGTTCTTTTACACACCCATTTTTAAAACACCACAACCTCCATTAACTTGGGCAACAAATCATTTATCACCATACCACATTGTGTCACAAATATATTCAAGCATAAGGATTATCTGGTCCCATCTCAGACTCTCTGAAGGATAGGCAAGAAAACCTTTATCTTTAGCTAATGCCCCATGTGGTTATTATAACTAGACTACTCAGGAAAATAATGAACAAGAATATAAGTTCCTCAAGAGTGGAAATGACAAAGTGTCCAATATTATGCTACTATTTAATATTTTTTTAAATGAGAGAATCAAGAGTATATGAAAGACTGTACAAATGAAAGAAGAAATGAATGATGGGCACACAATTCCACAAGTATTAAATAAATACCTTTCTGTTAATGTAGTTAGCTAATTTAGCCCTTGATTTATTGAGCAATATTTAACACATCAAGCAAAGTAAAGCAAAACATGCAAGTGACTAATAAGGAATTTTGTGGAGGTGAGCCCTCTGAGCTGACCTAGGAACTGAAAGATGCAAAATCTTTTCATCAGTCAGCTTTGGCCTTTATAAACTAGCAGAGTAGTCAGAGAAAGACTGAGCAAAGCTGAAAACTGTAGATTACATATTTTGATCGGCATTTAAAAGATCAGTTTATCAATTACAGGACCTGTTTAGAACCATGTGTGTATGTGTGTGTATATTTGCTTACTGATCTATAGAAACATATTCATTGTTTATCAATACAAATAATTTGCAACATGAGGTTTATTTAGCTTTGTCTACATATAATCGCTATAAATCTATGGCCTCTAAAATATCTGAACTATTTTATTCTTTTTTAAATAGTGATATGTTAACACTGTGCTGGGGATTTCCTCAGTTTGTGTAACAGAATACAATGAGAAGGTGTGCTGAGATTAAATGGAAGAATGTGTGCACTTGTGTGCGTAGGGTCTTTCAAGAGTGTCTCCATATGTATGAAGTTAGTAGGGAAGAAAGTCAGAAAAGAGACAATGAAATAAATTGATGAAAGAGGGTAGCAAGTGTAAGACAGAGGGCAAGTGTGTCCCGAGATCATTAAAGTCAAGTCAGGGAGATGAGAAATGAGGAGGCTGGAATGTGCTGTGGAAGCCTACCCAACTCTCTCCTGATCTGTCCCTCTGCTTCGATTCCCAGACATCACACTGCCTCAGCTCCTGCTTTCTCTCTGATGTGATTCCATGTAAGAGATCCAGCACCTCCCATTCTGTGTCTCTTTTTTTCTCACTGTCTGATGGCTCTTGAGCCTGCTATGCTGCCATGGGAACCTGTGGGAGACAGTAGGTGCCCATTACATTTATTCCCTTTCATCCCTTTTTGAAAATGAATTAAGCGTTTTCTGTTTAGGCTGGCATAAAAATGTGTTCTGACTCCAGAGTCCTAAAATTTGCACATTCAAGATATTTAATTTAACATTGAAAAGCAAGAAACATGTGGCTGCTAACAATGTCAGCCTTGAAAACCATACTCGCAAATCTTGGTCATTAACAAATATTTACACAAGTATGATCCCTGTCAGCAGTCAATTTCTTCTGTTAATGAGAAATAGCTGAGACTAAAAATAGTGGCAGTATATGTATCATCATGACTAAAATGATAGGCTCTAAAATCATACGTATGTGGGTTCAAATTCTAGAACTACCAAAATATGTGACTTAAAGAAGTTATTTTACTTTTCTAAACCTTGGTTTCATAAATCTGTAAAATGGATTGTCAGAACAGGATAGTCTAATTAGATAAAAGAAAGAGGTTAAATTAGAAAGTTTATGTAAAACACTTATTACAATGTCTGGTACACTAAATGTTCAATACATGTTTGATATTTTTAATAGCAAAATGCTCTGTCCTAAGGAAGGTAATTTTGGCAATAAAAGAGTCAGTGTTTTCATACCTATCAAAAATTACATACACACACATCCTCTCTAATTTTAATGCCATTAACTTGGAATTTAATTCCTTGTCACTACATAACTACATATAGCTGATATATTTATATAATGAATTCATTTCCAAATAATCCTATAAATGAGATAAGAAAAGACATTTTCAACAAGTAGAGACAAACTGAGAATAAATAATTCTCTTTTAAGGTTACATTTTGGGATCAGTGAAGTCAAATGACTTGGTATTTTTATCATATAATGCACATGATTTGAAGAGGAAATTAGTTTGTATACATGAGTATTACATTGATTTATTCCAGATATCACCAATCTTAATTAAAATATTCTTTGATCAGAGTCTTTCCATTTCTCATACAGAAACAAGCTCTGCTATTAGAATGTACACTGCACTTTTAAGGTTTTATTTTATATTTGATATACAGAGTAGTTATGCTACAAAACAGGATTTTATGTCATTCATAAAGAGAAGTGAACTGAGAAAAGTAGTTTTTTGGCCTTTTTAATGCTATTACTATGATATTTCAGTGCTCATACTTACCATATCTAATTAGTAAATTGCACAAATACAACAGGAGTTTGAATAACATGTTATGAATTTTCATTTGTACACATGTGGCTTTTGGAGCTCTGCCATTTCCTGAAATAGGAAGATTGTTCTGAATAGTAAACAGTAAGATTTTCTGTTTTAGCTCCAACTTTAATTTGTATCTGGCTTGAGAAATGTGATCAAATTATCTAATCAAAATCTTTGACACCGTCAATGGGCTTTTTAAAAATAAAGACAATATTGAAATGAAGCCTGCAAATTAATCTCATTATCTGCATAAAATTGAATTGAGGACTAAAATAGAGCTTGTGCCTGGCAAAGTTTAGTTTTCAAAGATGATGTTGACACACACATTTTTTCTGTTCCATAGTGGTCCTTGGATTAATTTCAAATCTGATATTTAAAATGAAATAAAACGAAGACTAAGTATCTGATCCCAGAGCAGTCGTTTTCAGTTTTCTCCATCTCAATGAGATAGGACAATTTTGCATGTGTGTATGTATGTGTGCGTATTATATCTATCTATAAATATACCTATACATATATTTTATAGATATATAGATATACATTTTCATTAAAAATATAGACTTCTTTATAAAGAAATATATTGATAATAACAAACATTTCTGTAAAGACCTGTGTGTGTGAGATACCTTGAGAATAAAATACCTAGAATTGTTGTCACCTTGATCTTCAGATTCTAAATGCTTTCCATTTTTACCAAAATGTCAAATTATTTTTTGTGTAAAAGAGAAGGCACTCCTTGCAAACTGCCAGATTGTATACCTGATTGTTAAATACTGCCAAATTTTTGAGGCAGACAAAACCTAACTTCTTATATTCATGAGAAGTATTTATCCCACCAGAAAGATGTGCAGGGTAATATCACCTTGAATTTATAAGAATTGACTATCAAAATACTTAATTACTCCCTTAAACAGTAGCAAAGTCCAGGCAAGTTTTGGTAGTATCATTTTACAGATGAGCAAAATAGAGATCTGTGATGTTAGAAGCTAGCGAAAGGTAACATAGCTAATAAAAATGGCAGAGATAGGAACTAGATTATCAAATTTTGGTCCCAATATTCTTTCACTGTGCTTTCCTACCCTCTGACATTTGTGCCTACAAAGCAACTACTTACTTCTCACCAGCTATCCCTCAAGAGAACCTTGTGTTAATGCAAAGTGAACTTGTTTTATAAAATCAATAACACTATTAATGCATTGTAGGCTTTTTAGTGAAATAAATTTATAAGCCTAATAATTAAAGATTATGTCTACCTTAACCCAATCCTTTTCTGAGGGAAAACATCATCAAGGCAATTCATACAAATAAAATTGAATAATGCTTACACGTGAACCCCTGTAATTTATAAGACAACACATTTTTTAAAAAATTTAAAGTCATGCTAAAAGAAATTACATTTATAAAGCCATCTAAATGTCTTTTGAATTTGTCTTAAAGCACACTGTCATACTTTAAGGCAATATTAAAACAGAGTTGTAAACAGGCAGACTGCAAATAAAATGGCCATTGGTTATCATGGTGATTGTAACAGAATTATCTGCTGTCAGGAATTTATTTTTAAAAACTCTGTGAGAAGTGAATTCAGAATTAATAATCAAACAATGCAAGTGGTGGTCTGGGTTGTTTATTTCAGCTTCTCATTTAAAATATATTTAAAAGATTAAAAACGTGTCAGTGTGATAGACAAAATAGTTTTGCCAAGTTAGATAGACATACATACTAAACATTATATTAAAAAATAAAGAAAATTATATTACATGTAAACTTTTTCAGACAAAGTTCTATGCCATGTGAAGGCACTCTATTTTCCCTAAGGGTGCTGATATAGATAGCTCTATTTACAAGGTTCAATGCAATGTATATCTCTTTCAAGCTTCAGGGATAAATTTAAAATTGATAGAGAAGTAAAGAGCTAAAGCTAGTGTATGTGAGTGTAAGTGTCCACATCTAAGTGTGTGTGTGCGCCTGTGAGAGAGAGGAAGAGCACTAATGAGGAAGCTCGGGAGATAACCATTTGAGAAATACACTGTAGATTATCTACACTGTAGGAACTTAAATCATACTCATAGCAGTTCTTTAGGATGTTCAGGGGAGAACAATAACAATGGAAATATCCTTCAGCAGACTAATGTTTTTATGTAGCTTATATTTTTTTCTTCAAAGAATAAGCTTCCTTTTTTTCTACAAAGAAAATGAATACTTATCACAAATTATATTAAGAAAACATTTATATAAAGTGACTTTGGAATACTGTACTAAAAATCTTTAATTTGCTTCATGTAAAATTTAAATTAAGGAGCTGATCAGAACATTGGCTAGTAGAATTACAACTGGGTTTCATTTTCAACATCAGTATTCGTTAAGCCACATTATAAATTATAAAACCATACAAATACACAATATTAAAATGGTTCTCTCATTCACAGTTTCAGTAGTTACATGTGCTCTCTCAGGAAATATAAATTTGCATACAGCCAAATTCTGAATCAGGAAACATTTTACTTTGTGATCTTCAAATGCATCAAAAGGAATATGAGAATGTAAACAGGAAGAATTATTTGAAAACAAGAATTATTTGAAAATATTGGCCTGGAGAAAACTATTTTGCTTTTAACATCTTCGTAAGCCTGTATGATATATGAACAAATTTCTGAATTAATTAATAACACATTATTTTACAAGGTAAACAGACATTCAAATTTGAGCTTAAAAATCTTGACCCTGGGTACTTTGTCAAGAAAGTTCTCTAAAATCTGTTAAATATATGTAATTATATTACTGTACATTTTAGTACTATGAGTGTTGAGAATTGTAGCTAATAGGATCTGCCTTTTCCTTCAAGTAAGTGATGATTGTAGGCTAACTTAGCCAGCCCTTTTTTTTTCCAGTTTCCTCTTGCCTGTTAGCAGTCTAACAGAAGTTTGCATTATATTATAAATTCCTGCAGAAATTCTTCTGCTTAGTGCATATTAATGCCAAATAAAATTATCATGTGTAATCTTAGTTCTTTGGATGTAAAAGGACTGTAATATTTACATGTAGTTCATTGTTTATAGTGAACTATTAATTAATTAGGTGGCTTATATTGTTGCTCGCTCTGCCCTGTGGTTTCAATGTTCTCTTCATAGGAATTGAAGGTATGTGTTCAGAAGGTTTCTGTTAGAAGAATGTAAAGAGTTCATTTTTCAGATTCATGGGAAAGTACAGATTTGGGGATGGAGGAGGGCATTTGAAAAAGAATAAAGTAGCAATCCTAGTCAGAAAGTATATACTACAGCTGTATTGCAATCTGCCAAAACAACTGTGCCCTATTATGTTAATAAAACAAAAATATCACTTTGTGATGTGGGTATTTCCAGCATCCCTTCTTGTAAATAGAAACCACCACCCACAATGCATTGTACTTCTTGTGAAATATGCAGATGCGATGTACAGTAATCACACACAGAATGTGTGGGTGATGTCACCTAAGTGTGGGCTGGGTACACTTTACAATGCATTTTGGATTTGTATTCATTTAAAAACAGCATGGTATTGCTTTTTGATAACACTCATAATGGAATGGTTTTGCTTCTTCAGTGGGTTTTCACTTAGAACAGGAAAAGTGCTAGATTATGATAACATAAGAAAACAAAGCTAAGGCCTATTCTGGGGAAGAAAATGGGTTGCTAGGCTTATTGAACTGGTCTTGTTGATCTTAAGGAAATAAATAAAGAAGTAAAGAAGAACCTCTTTCAATAGAATGTCACTTAACTTCATTTGCAGTATTCATGGAACTGAATCATAAAAATATCATGTGTTAGCATTGCCCTGTATGTCCCATGGCCTTCATTAGCTTACAGGAAGCTCAGTGGAAGCTTGAAAATACTAACAGAAAAAATGACAGAAATCAGGTATGCTGTCCTCTGGTTTTGCTTTAAGATAATCGTAATAATAAAAGTTTGGGTTAGGCATCCATTTATATGTGAAAAGTAAAGAACACTG
Organism: Homo sapiens; assembly: GCF_000001405.40. Taxonomy (NCBI): domain Eukaryota; kingdom Metazoa; phylum Chordata; class Mammalia; order Primates; family Hominidae; genus Homo; species Homo sapiens. The sequence goes on along the minus strand of NC_000002.12, from coordinate 155,377,707 downwards.
AGCAAGGCAGAATCCAGAAGCCAAGATATAGCCAGCGATGTTTAAGAGAAAGAGCCCCGGCTGTAAATGTGCACAATATTCCACATTATATACATGTCATTTCTGAGTACTGTTGGAACGATGCGGTGTCAAATCTGTATGACAGATTGAGGTGAAAGCTGGGAAGAGAGAGCTTGTGAAAAAGCAGCCCTGACTGAGTGGGGCATCCTATAGGATTTATCCTGCAGGCTAAGTAACCAGCTTCATCTCATAAAAGGAAGAGGAGAACCGGGATAATTGTCTACTAATTTAACTAGCTCATTTGGTCATTGTATTATTTAAATTGTATTCAAGTGTAACAATGCCATCTAGTGATGAGATTCTAAACTGATCTTTTAACTGAAATCCTGGTTAAGGTTAGAAGGCAAGTGTTTGGCTATTAGATAGCACTTTAACTTAATATTCTATGAAATAATAGAGCACTCCCAATGTCTGTTTTAGTGTTAGATAAATTATCCATACAAGATAACACAAAGGACAAAATGAACTCCCTCCCTTTTTTGCCTTTTTATGCAGCCTTATTTTTATGTGGGAAGTTCATGTTCAATAGTAAAACATCCTATGATTTTCCATCAGTCTGTGACCTGAGTTTATAGCATCTCTGATATTTTCTCATTCAATAGATCTTTACAATCAATTGTACTGAAAGCATATCTTTTATTTAACCTTTGCTTTTCGAAAACAGTATTTGTAAAACTTTAGCTAACAAAATGATCATTAGTTATTTCTTTTCTTTTACCCATCTCCACTTTTTGCTTCCAGCATAAAACCAGCTCTTCTAAAACATGGAGGTCAAAGTTCTTCAAGATCATAATTCATGTTTCTCCATGGCAATGACTACTTATCACATCATCCTGTTAAAACTTGAAAACAACTTATACCTTTATTGAGAGAAATATAAATTTATAGGAATACACATTTTAATTGTAATTGCTTGCCTGAAATTTGGGCAAAAGTGATTTAAAAATAAGAACTGAAATAAAAAAAGAATAAGAACTAAAATCAGTGGAAATAGATTTTAGGATTATCTTTACTATTAGTTAATTATATAAGCTTAAATTTAAGAGACAGGTTCTTCGGCTTCAGTTTCCTCTGGGAAAAAAAAATGTGTGGATCTGACAAAGTAATCTCTAATATATTTTCCACCTACAAACTTCTGGGCCCGTTAAGTAGCTGATAAATAAAATTTTTAAAAGAGTGGAGCAACAGGAAGAGTTGACTTTGTTCTACTTCTGGTCTTTGTGGCTGCACTCCAAGACTTTGAACTCTTCTTCAGCAGATGTTTAACAAAATGTGTTGTTTGATAGATTATCCTTAACACTTTAGGCATATCATCTATAGGCAGGGAACAGAGTAAGGGAAGATATCCCAGTGCAGGATAAAAATGTATAACATTCGAAATATTGCTTCACATCAATTTTTATATCAGCTATATTCTAAAGTGTTTTATGTAGACATATGACCCCCAAAATTGAAAAAAAAATGTTATGGTATAAAGATGTTGCATCACCCACTTTCCCCTCACTCAATAATGTGTAATGACATGGTACCTTTCTTTTTTAATGTTTCATGCAGAAAACAAATTTTATATTCCAATCCCTAAAATTTCAGATGATATTACAAAATTTTCTCAATTGTCTAATATATAAGCTTTTTCGAACAGGAAAGGTGCTACCTGATGCCATGGAAACCTACATATATTTTTAGTTTATATGTAGAAAAATTAAAATATCCTGATTTTAATAGTAATAAACAGATACTAAGACTCCCTTTCTGATAAATAAATTAAAAAGTCAGCATTATATCTTCTTAAAAGAGCTAAGGGTCATTTGTTATTCACTTATTTTTTGTTCTGTAAGTTTCCTTATGTATCTTTCATCTTATCCACCATAGTAACAATATTAAAATAAATAGCAGATTTTTCTTCAGTTTAACTATTATAAAATGAAGTTACTTTTAGTATATTGTGATTATTTACCTACTTATTTTTAGTAGTTGCATATTCTAATTCAGGATTATTAGTGAAGAATAGGTGAGTGCAAGTCCAAATTATTTGTCATATATATATAAATCTGTACTCGGTTATAGGAATTTTTTTTAGTAACAAACCAAACAACACGAAAACATAAATAAGGCAGGTATAATCTCTGCCTGATAATGTGACTTGAGAGCAAAACTTGGGAAATTACAGCTCCCATTCCCAGTTAAAAGACAAAGACCAAATACAATAAAAACAGATATGCGTGTGGTCCAATAACAATGTTAGGAGCATACCTGTTGGATTTCACAATAAATATTTTCGTTGAAAACATTTATAAACTAAATTGTATATTGTTAAAGAAAATATTCATTAAATAATTAATTAAAATCAAGACACATTTTATGTTTTAAATTCTTCCTCCAACTTTTTACACTTTGTATTTTTCTTTCTGCACATGCTCTCTCTTGCTTGTGCTCTCTCTCCTCCTTTTCTTTCGTTGCTTTCTTTCTATATTTGTTATTCTTATATGATTTCGAACAAAATATATAATTTTATTGATAAATTATCTGGTTTTATGAATTTTCTTACTTTGTTATGTTTTTTGGCCTGAGCTACAATAACAGCTGTAAATCCATAAGACTTTGAATAATAATGCATGTGAAGAATTTTAATTTCTTTGAAAAAAACTTATTTATTTGAGGTTATTAGACATTATCATTCTGATAACCTGCGAGATCTTATAAATCTGATTTTTTTGGCTTTGTCAAAGCATTTTTTTTTGCTTTAATACATGCCAGTTTATTTCCACAAATTGTTCATGAGAATGAAAAACTGGCTGATAATTAGTTCACTAACATATTTTACAAATATTTACTACAATCAAATTCACCCTCTAAAATCTCAATATAAATTTTAGGATATATTGAATCATTTTGAAAAACCACAACCTCTCTCTTGCTGCTCTATCGATGTGGTGCCTAATTACTACTATATTTACTATTTATTTCACCTAAACGTCTCTATGGTTATAACAACACAACCTTGATTTAACCAATTAACAAGTAGAAAAATCAATAAAACAACTAGATGTTTTTCAATATATTGCCACAAAAGATATTTAAATTTGTGTTTTTTTTAAACCTGACCTCAACTGTTATTTGAGTAGCCTGATAATATTGATAAGTTGCAGTTTTGTGTAGTAAACAGAACCCGTATGTTATAGACTCTTGGGATTGAAGCAATAGGCCTAGCTTATCTGTAAAAGGCATGATTATACATTACTAAGCTACTCAAACGATTGATTTAGTAGAATTACAGAGAATAGAATTACTCATCTAATATGTTTGCTTTAAAGATGGCAAATAAATTGGTTTATGGGAAAATGTTTCATTACTCAAACTGCTGTTTTTTAACGTTATCTAGGAAGATTGGTAACATACAACCAGTGAAAAAGAAGAGTTGCTAAAATAACTAATGAAGTAAATTTTATAAATGTGAATAACTTAGTCAAAGAAGGTTCCTGCCATCATCATCCTGGGATTCAACTGTTTGTCAAAGATCTCAAGAGTACCTCCTTCATGTATATGAAATAAATTTAACCGTGTTATGAAGTTGCAAATAATTTACATACTGACAAATATGATTTTTGAAATCACAAATTCTATTATTTAATTAAAATAATTTATCAATACATTAATTTTCTTTGTGATTGACTTTGTAGGCTTCTATCCCTAGAAAAAAGTTAAAAAAAATCCCAACAAAAAGAAGGTATTTACATTCAGTTTTATTTGTATATTCAAAAATTCTTGTTACTTTCTAAGACATTAAAATAAGATTATACCTAAAGTAGCAAAATTACAACAGAAAACTTTTGTTCCTTTTTTTTTTTTTGATTTATTTAGCTCACCACTCAGCTAGCCAAAAAGTGTCTGAAAAGTAAGGGGAGTCTACACTGCTAGCTAGTCATGACATGGACAATTTAGCGATGTGATACAGGAAACAATTTTTTTAAAAAATAACATGTAAATGAATAGTTCAAACAAATTATGTTAACATTTCTTTCTTATCTTTAACTTTTTAAGTTACTATAAACTATTCTTTGATTTGGTAGCGTACTTCATCATTTCTTTCACTGATCATTTTCTTTTCCCTCTTTTCCTTTTTCTGAACAAAAATAAAAGTAATTTTAGAAAAAAATTGACTAAACTGTATTTTGCTGTATATGTTTCAAATAATGGTTATTATTACTAATGACTTTAAAATATATACATATGAGAAAAATATCAATAATTGGCAAATGAATCTAGAAACATTCCATGAGAGTATATGTTTTAAATATAAAGAATTTTTCACAAAAAAGTATGTGAATGGACCATGATTGAAGTTCAAATGATTCTAGTAAATGGCCTTAGATATAAACTTAGTTTCTTATAATTTTCCATTGCTTTATTACACTAACGAAACAGCTTTAGTTAGGGTTCCTTATAATGTGTAGCTCCACAAGGACCTATTTTTTATACTTTGGCTCCATCTAGTAGAAACTGAGGAAATTACTTGAAGATGTGACTTCCCTTTTTGTAGGACTTCGAGCTGCATGTCATGGTAATGGAAAATAAAATAAAAGATGGCAAATAACCTGCCTTTATTATAATGTGGCATGCTTTTATTTGAAAATGTAAACTACTATTCTATATTGTGTCATATGCTTTTTACCTAGAGTAAGTCAATTGTTTACTATTTTAACCAAATTCAGGATTTTGCTGTCTTAAATTTTGAGAGAATAAAAATGGTTTTAATTCTTGTTCCATCACTTTCTCCTCCAAGGTTCTGGCTTTATAACAGCATAGAGTCAACTTTCCTTCAAGATAGAAGGTAAAAAGTACTTTTACTACATTTTCAACTCACACGTGAACTAGCTGAGACGTTTATACAACAGACATGGAAGCCTGTTTAAAGTTCATCTTTGATGGGGAGCAGGTATCGGCTAAATTTTAACGAGTAATCATAGCAAGGTTATAGACTTTTTCATATTTTAAAAAATTACCAATACCTTAATAGTTCTTGGATTCTCATATAAAATATATTTTCTTCCTTTTTTGTTGCTTTTTTTTTTTTTTTTTTTTTTTTGGTTCTTGAAGGTCACAGTAGTTCCTTGACTGCTAAGACTACAATATCTGCAATAGAATGTGTGTTTTCTATAATTGCTTTAAACAGGTAAACACCAGTGCTCTAATCAAAATGACCATTCAATCTAAACAGAAAACTACTTTTTTTTTTCCAGGAGAACATGTAGTATTTAACAAATGACATCCTAAGGTTGTAAAGGAATGGATAATTTAAAGTAGCTAATGGGAATGACAATGTTAGTTGTACTGCCCCAAATCTAACTGCCAATAAGAATGCCTCTGTAGTTTTACCACCTGAAATACTTCCAGTATAGGCAGCTAATCTAACCTGCAACACAGCCAATTCAATCATTGCTGACACTTTCACCATCAACACTGATCACTGTCGCTCAATCAATTGTGTCATGAGGAGCCATTGATTTCAAGATGGCTAAACTGATTGGATAACCATGAAATGATTCAACTGGTTAGTGCCTGTACATATTTCCATACTTTGCTTATTGGTGGGAAGCACAGTAAATTTCAGAGATGTGACTAGTGAACCGGTTTGACTATTTAAAATTGCAATGCAGTCTTCTGAGTAGAGAGAAGGTCATTTCTTTTGAAAGGAAAACTTTTTGAAAAACGCAGTGGCTGTAAAAAGTTATGCTACTCTCAATTTGATTTTGAATGGCTTATAAAATAAACTTTTTATTTTAGAGCAAGATTAGGGTTACATAAAAATTGTGAAATTCAAGTTCCCTCATATTGCACATCCAATTTTCTCTATTACATTAGTAAATAATACATAGATTCATAAAATTCTCTCTAATTTGCTCAATTGTTATTAAATGTTTTCATCAATTGGACTCATAAAATTGCATTTTATTAAAAAGGGTTATTTTACTCTTTGTTAGTGTTATGCAAATCAGCTTTTATGCATTCTTTTTAGGTTTCGATACCACACAACTTTCTGTAAGTTGTTTTTTAAAAAGCAATTTTTGGCAATATAATATGTGCAAACATTCAAGTCATTTAAATGTACCTAGTATTCTGCCTTTAAATGTTTGGCAAAAACTAAGTAAAAAATACCTTTGACCTATATCAGAATAGAAGATGAAAGACATTTTAAAAGAAGTACTTCATAATAAAACATCCTGATATACTGGTGTAGAGCTAACATGTGATAATCATCAATGAACATTTATTTTTGTCACTATAAAAATAACTCATGCATGTGTAAAAAAAACTCTGAACAATACAAAATTCTATAAAATAAAATATAAAAGTTCTTCCACTCTTAGTCCCATTTTCTAGCGTTAACATTTTATTTCATTTTTGTTCTTTAGATTGTCATCAAACTCTAAATACTATGTTTTTACTCCATTTCTGCATATATCTAATGTAGGCAGGATTTACTGCAGCACAGATTAAAGAATTGAGCATATTTGTACTAACTCCTTTCATTTGTTCATGCAAACATTTAGTTTCCTTATTTGTCCTTATTTTTCTCTGTGAGGAAGATACTTATTTATTTCTGTTACTATTCACTTTAGCCTGTGTAATGACCACTATGTCAACTAAGAAACTGGCCCATATATATACTTCTCCATATGTGGTTCGATTCACTTTCACTTCTTGTGGGTTTTCAGATCTACAATTACTTTATGATTCAAGATTATAGCATCTATTTATTGCCTAAAATATATGCAAACCTTTGATAACCTGTGTTTATAAGTTGATTATAATAATTAAAAATTAATAAAGTAGGTTTATAATATAAAGATAATTTAATCATTATTGATAGCCATACCAAACCCTTTTTGACCTATACAAAATGAAACATAATCTTTATCATTAAGTGTGTATCATTCAAAAGAGAAAGTGCCAAGTATCAAGTTCAAATGAATTCTTAAGCTGTATTCATTGAATAAAATTACATTATGTTTTAACTTGCTTTGTAATAGTATTATGCTTTTTTGTAAAGTTTGTCACTTTACTTTGTTCCTCATTCCTTCTCTCTTTTTTTTTTCCCTTGGTGTGTGACTGACTAGGCATAAGAAAATCTTTCATTTTCTTAGCCATAGATGTGGTAACCAATTGCCAAAGTTTTCCAGGGTAAGTCTATCTAAATTTTGATTCTAATTTGCATTAATTTTTTCAAATATGTACATATACATGTCTTTCTATTCATTAAAAAGACTCAAGAGAGAAGTTTAAAAAAACACCTACAATTCTATCAATCATAAAATACTAGGAGTCATAACTAACTTTACTATTTTGCATATATATTTCCCAATATTCTGATTGCATATATCAAGAATGAGAGTAGCTATTGATATAAAAATGTCAATAGATAGGTATAAAATGTCAATAGATATAAAGTGGCTACACTATGTATGCTGTACTGAAAATTATACATATATTACATACTTGAATTTAATTAAAAACACTTTAATTGAGAGGATTCTGGGAAGACGGTGCCACTGGCAGAATCACTCTCAATCTTTCTGAATTGACACACACACACACACACACACACACACACACACACACACACACAGAGAAAGAAAAGAATATAGAAAGTAAACAAAACCTACGGGCATTTAAGGCACACTAGACCTCAAGGTGATTCTAGAACCATTCCACACGCCAAATTAACAGGTGAGACAAATCACCAAAAGTCACAGGGCCATATATAAAAAATAATAATAATTTATCAGCATTTGATGCACTGGAGGGAAAAAAGAAGAGCTAGAGACAGAGAGATCAGTTTAAAATTCTTTGAGAAAGATACATAAAAGAATGAGAGCTGGATTAGGTTAGGAATAGGAAAATGGGAAGGAAATAATAATATAAGTACTTAGTAAATGTTTGATGATCTCTATAAGCCAAGTCTGTGAAATTTACATCTAATTGAAGAAAGAAGTAAAGGAGATTAAAGCAAGAACCCAAATCGACCATTTCGGTTGGCCCTGTTACAGAAAAGAAATATTTTGGCAGAAAATGCTTCCTCAGTAAAGCAAAGCCCATCAGTTTCAGTGAAGCATTTCTGTTAATAACTTGTCAGAGGGAAACGGTGTGGATGTTAGGTATCCATGCCAACATGTGCCAGTTTCTCACTTCTCAGAATATTTTGCCAAGGTATAGATATAGAATGATTTCAGACTTTCACAGGCAAGGGAAAATGGACTGAAACAAGACTTCAAAAAATTTGGGCCACCACATTTTTACCTTAATATTAAATCCAGAATCATTCACTTCATTTCATTTATGACAATTTTCCACAGTTGTTTTTAATTGGCATGCAGGGCATCCATTCATTTAATGAACAATTACCAACTTTTAAAAATCAATCCATACTGTGTTTGGTAGTAGAAATCCACCCTGTGCAACTTGTGCTAATTAGAATATTTTGCCTTCTTAAAAATAAAATATTTTACTGCCATCTGCTGGCATAAGGTCATAATAATTCTAGAAATCTAAACTGTGAAGGTGAATGTTGCATCCTGGAGCTGTTCAAAGCAACTGTAAACTTCAGTTCTGATAAGGGTGCGTGTATAAATGAGGGCAGCTTTCTAGTACATGTATTCCTATACTTCCCACAGCCAGTGTCATGTAATCCCATTTACAGATTTAACATAGTACATCCCATTATGGCCAAGAAACAGTCACAACATGAAAATATTATTTTAGGGGCCCAATCCTGTTTGAAAGGGGAGTGTTAAATTGTAAAAAGAAGCAAAAAAAAAAAAAGCTATGAAAATAAAAACAGGATCTCAGGAACCAAGTCTCTACCAGATCAAACAAGAAAGAACAAAGTCCTGTTGCTGAGCCTCCATTCCATAAATGCCTGCTGCCCTCGGCCAAGAGCAATGCTAGGCATCAGGCAGGAGTAGAGGCCATCAGGGAAGATGAAGGCTCTAATCTGAAGATTTGTAAGGCTATTTTATACTCACTAACTCAATGTTTTCACATTTGTAAAATGTTTGGAAACTTACATCAAATAAAATTTTATATAAGATCTCAATTTATGCAGAAGAATAAGTTTCTGGGTGAAGAAGAGGTACAACAGAAGAGCAAAGCCTTGTCTGCTCACTCTGCTGTTCATTTTCCACCGCTTGTGGAAACCCTGACTGTCCAGAGGCCTTCTATTGGCTCCAAAACAGATCAGGATT